>NC_000004.12:115891077-116042593 GCF_000001405.40 Homo sapiens | reverse complement strand
GACCAGCCTGGCCAACATGGAGAAACCCCGTCTCTACTTAAAATACAAAAAAAAATTATCCAGGTTGGTGGCAGGCCCTGTAATCCCTGCTACTCAGCAGGCTGAGGTAGGAGAATCGCTTGAACCTGGAAGGTGATGAGTGGCGATGAAAGGACCACTGCACTCGAGCCTGAGTGACAGAGTGAAACTCTGTCTGCAAAAAAAAGAAAAAAAAAGACAAATAATACAATAAATAAAAAGAAAAGAAAAGAAGCTCCAGTTCTATCTTCACAGGCTTTCTGTCTACTTTATAAAGGCATCTATCTATCTACCTATTCATCTATCTATCTACCTATCAATTATCTTTCTATCTGAACCGCATGTATAAGAGCTATTACAGTTACAGTTACAGGTAATTAAATAACTAGTTATCCCTGGCATTACTTTGGTTGTGGCTATATTATAGTTCATTTTATAATATATGGTGAAACCTAAAAAGACTCCAATAACATAAATATAACACATCTTCATCACAATTCTTTTAAAAATCTCATTGAAATAACATTAAAGATATAAACAAACAAATGAAATAACAGTTGTCAAATGAAAAGAAAGAAAACACCATCAATAGATCAATTATTTGGGACACTCCTAAAAAACAGGTATTATAATACAATTCCAGGAAAGCTAGAATTGAGTTACCATAATTCAAGTTGCTGAAAAGGTAACGGCAGCTTTTTTTTTCTTTTTCTGCAGTGGAACTCATGCAAATTTCCATGTTTGGTTATTTAAAAACTACAAAAACAAACAGATATGGATTTTAAGCACTTAAGATAATTATCATTATCAAAAAATGAAGTTAATTATTTCCTAATGAACATATGGCCAGTCTTGTTTGAGTCCCTCCTCTTCCCAATGAATACACAGCAGTTGTCAAAAGTGATGTCACACATAATGAAAGCATAAACAACTCTTTCCCTAAGAAAGTGACCACTCTGCCCAGTAGTGATGTTTCCAAAGGTAGAAACAGAGAAGAGCCTGTAGTGACTTAAACTTGCTCAGTTGGAGACACTGGAGTAAAGATAAAGCAGTTCCAACACAGAATAAAGAGGCAGCCTGCTCTCCTGATCTTAAGAGCTTTAACTTACACAGACTCCAAAAATCTGTTCTTTTATTTAACAGAAGAGGTAGTTGAGTCGAAGACTTTATAGTACTGCAGAGAAAACTCATCTTTCTACCTATGTGCTCCTGAACAAGGGCTGTAAAATGGAGTCAAATGGAGAAATTTTTAAATCACCAATGCCTGGCGATTGTGATTTACCCTGCTGAGGGTGTGTATTGGGCATTGCTACATTTTAATGTCTCAAGTAAGCCTAGTATATAGACACATTTGAAAAATGCTGGCCTACCATTAATGTACTCAGTAGGATCCTTTCAGCAAGGAGTAATAGAAAACTCAAACAATAAGATATATTGTTACAAATAAGATGTTCCTAAGTACAGCAGAGTTTGGTTAATTTAGCATCTCAGCGATGTTTTCAAGGACCCAACTACTGCCTGCTTTTGGCCCCTGCCATCCTCTGTATGGTTATCTCCCTCCTTTATGGTCAAAAAAGAGTAGGAGCTACATTCTTATACACTGACGCCAAAGAGAGAACATGGTTCGTTCATCTGAGTTCACTTATAAAATGATAAAACTATCCCAAAAGCTAGAACTCAGTCACTTGTCTACTTCTGAGCTTACTGCTAAGAAGAGACACAAACTCATTATACTTACCCTGTAACAAATAGTATTTACTCAAGGCGTTTAGGACAAACACAGTCACAAGAACAGATATTCATGTATAGCAACCTGATTTGAAACTCTTACTCACTTTCGTGATTAAAAAAAAAGAAGTTTACAATTTCTTTCCCACATTGTTAACTTTCTTTTGGTAACTCACATTTGAGTTTTTTACAAGCATTATGTATAGCTTTAAAAAAAGGTTATTTTTCCCACATCTACAAGTTTCGTTTGTGAACAAACATAATTGATTCTTGTTAATAATAGAATTTAATTGATGGATTCTGAAGAATATATATATTTATATATAATATAGATATCTTATATATATTTATATATTATATATATCATATATTTTTATATATAATATATATCTATTATATATAATAGATATATCTTATATATAATATATATCTTATATATAATATATATATCTTATCATATATATATATATATATATATATATATATATATTACTTCAGTACTATTTTGCTTTTACCACATAAGAAATGGTGTAGTCATTCAATGTGCTGGGAGCAACTATCATGCTTTGGAGAGAAAACGGCAAAATTATCTGGCACAAAAACTGCTTAGTTAAAAGTGGTTAAGAATGATTCTACTCCACATATATATCTATACATAAATGTGATATCCATCTATCCATCTATCTAAAATTAGGATAATGTGTGTGTATCTGTGTGAGGCAGAGAGATACTGTCTGTGTGTCCAGATTTCACTTGTCTTTAAGTTGCTGTGTAGAGAAAGTTTGGTTTGTTTATTTAAGCTTAGACTGGTAATGTTTTTACTTCTGTTCAAATTTTTCCTCATTGATAGTATTTATCCTTTTAACCAGTTAGAACCACATTTTTTAAATAGTACCAAGGGACTCTTTTGGAAAAAATATTTTTTTCATGAATTCTTGTTTCCTCAGAAAGTAATTCTCAATTGCGGATGTTTAATACTTTCAGAATGTACCATTACTGTTGTCTAGTGGCTGGGTTGCCATTAAAAGAACATGAGTTGCAATAATATAAATGCCCAAAGTACTATTGCAATCTGCTATGTTCTTAAAATTACTGTATCTTATAAAATAACTCAATGTCTATATGTTGTTTCCATAATAGAAGGCCCATTTTTGAAATAATGATTAGAAGGACGTAACCTATGAAAATGTGTTAGCTACTGTTGATAGAATCTCCCCACTCCCAATATTACCACTGCAGAAACATTATCTAAAAGCCTACAAGTTTTACTTGTCCTTTGGGAGCAGAAGCTCTTAAGTGACTTTATTTAAAGAGAAGTATATCAGATAGATGTGGCAGTAATGTAAGACAAGTAGACAGAACTATGTCCTCAGATTAAACAGGGTTTAGAAGGATCAAGCAGGTACTCAGACACATTGATCCAAATAGAACAAGGGGCTTATGTCTTCATTTTTGAAGGGCCTTCGTTTAAAACAACTTGATGTGGTTAAGAGTATGAGTTATTTTTGGTGTTATTAAACTACCTTACTGAGATTAGCAAACGCATGATGAAGATTATTATAACATGAGAGTTTATTAGTTATTGAAGATCCTAGGCATTTTTGTGTTTCATGATTCATATGACACCAATGTCCCTGACATTTCTCAGTTTTTTTTTGCCCCTAGCCTCTCCCTTTCTGTATTTGCCTTTTTCAGCTCCCTGAAAAAAATCATCTTGTTAGGTTCAAGAAAAAGGTTAGGCATAAGGGTGTTTCTAAAAGAGGAAGTAACAATTTCACGTCTATCTTTCTTAATTGATGTCCTAATTCTCATACTCATCTTTTGTGATTCCCTATACAAAAGGAAAATATGGTCATCCTCTTGGAAGTATAAAAATAAATCCTGTGATTAAATCGTTGAAATCACTGCTTTATTTTTTCCTCAAGTTGTATATTTTTTCTTGTTTTATTGGTATAACGTGCATGTGTTTATCAGAAATTAATGTGTTGTATATTATAGGGATTTCCTTATTGCTATTTGATGTTTTTTAGTACAAGACATGAATACATTGTCAGTAACAGATAAGGGCAGGACTGTAACAAAGAAAAATGTGTCAGCAAACATAAATACAAAATCTCAACCCTCTTCTTTCACCTGTTCGGCATTTTCTATGCATTTACATGCATATCATATTTTAACATATCTGTTGCTATCTGTTTTAAGTATATATTTTCATAGATAGAGAACATATAGGTCTAATTTTTGCCAGTTTGTAAATTGTGGTAAAATGTGCATATCATAGAATTGAGCATTTTAAAGTGTACAATTCAGTGGCATTAAGTATATTCACATTATTTTGCAGTTATCATCACCACCATCTCCAGAAGATTTTTATTTTCCCAAACTGAAATTCTGTGCCATTAAACAAATACTCCCCATCATTCCCTCCCCCTGGCCCTAGCAAGTACTATTCTACTTTTTGTATCTATAAATTTTAGTACACTAGGTACTTCATATGATGAAAATTATACAACATTTGTCTGAGTCTGACATATTCCCTTAGCTTAAAATCTTCAATCTTCATCCATATTGTAGCATGTGTCAGAATTTAACTCCATTTTAAGGCTGAATAATATCCCATTGTATGAATATACCACATTTTGTTTATCCATTTATGCACTGATTGACATTTGAGTTGTTTCCTCCTTTTGGGTATTATAAATAATGCTGCTGTGAACATGGGTATACAAATATTTGTTTGAGTCCTTGTTTTTAACTCATTTGGGTATAGATACCCAGAAATGGAGTCCCTGTATCATATGGTAATTCTATGTTTAATTTTTAAAGAACCAGTGTACTATTTTCCATAGCAGATGCACCATTTTACAGTTTCACCAGCAAGGCACAATAGGTTCAATTTTTCCACATCCTCACCGATTTGTTATTTTTTTGTTTTTGTTTTTGTTTTCTTATAATATCTGCCTGATGGATATGAAGTGGTATCCAACTGTGGTTTTGATTTGCATTTCTCTAATGATAGGAGATGAGTATCTTTTCATGTATTTATTGGCCATGCATATAATTTATTTAGAGGAATATCTATTCAAGTCCTTGCCCATTTTTTAATTCAGTTGTTTGTGTCAATCCAATAAACTAAGAAAGGTTCTCTAAAAGAAAAAGATATTTATTTGGGAATAGAGCATTTCAATGAGAATACACATGCCATAGTAAACTATGTGCATATTCAGCAAGGTAAAGAAAGACGAAAGTTTTTAAAGGAAAAAATAAGAAGGATTTTATAGTTGTTTTTAAATAATGATACCCAACTACAGAGATCAGTAACAGCTTAACACTAGTCTAACGTTGGGCAGACAGTGCTGGGCAGTTGTTTTTGCAGAAGTATATTGCATATAAGGTTGTGATGGCCTTTGTGCAAGGTTGTGTGTTTTGTGGAGTCTTTTTTTTAGTCATAGAAGTGTGAGAACCCTCTTTTCATTGACTTCTCTAACTCTGTTTATCAGGGTTTTCATAACATTGATGACTCTATTTTGATTCTGACAACTTTTACATTTGTTTGTTGTTGTTGTTGATGATGATGATTTGTAAGAGTTCTTTATATGTCCTGGATATTAATCCCTAATCGGATATATGATTTATAAATATTTTCTCCCATTATGTGTGCTGTTTGCTCACTCTGTTGATGGTGTCCTTTAATAGACAAACATTCTCAATTTTGATGAAGTCCGATTTATATATTTTTTGTTGTTGTCTATGTTTAGTGTCATATCAAAGAAATCATTGCCAAATCCAATGTCATGAAGCTTTCCCCATGTTTTCTTCTATGAGTTTTATAGTTGTAGCTTTCATGTTATATTTTTAATACCTTTTGAGTAAATTATTATACATGATGCAAGGTGAGTTCAACTATATTCTTTTGCATATCAATACCCGTTTTTCCCAGCACTATTTGTTGAAAAGACTTTCACCTATGAATGTTCTTGGTATGGTCTAACTGTTTTTGTAAATAGCTTACAAGAATTCCATTTTTGCACATACCAGAATATTTTAACTACCCCTTCTCAATATATATATTACTTGATGACAGGTAATAATGCTTATTACAAATAATGCTGCCATTGTCATACATATTTATATCTTTGTTTCCATAAGTGCAAATGTATTTATGAGACAGACTTTAATATTCTTAGTGTACGTGAATTTTAAGTTACAAAATATGACAGCTAACTAATTTGTATATATTTTTAGCAATTATCACATCCATTAACAGTGTATTGTGGTAACCGCAATTTTTTGCACCAACCTAAATAGCTTAACTAAGCATACCCATATAGACAATATCATTTCTCTTCCCACAGTTGTTTGTCAGATGAGATATATGGGCAATTGTAATGAAATGCAAAATTTATTTATTAAGTAGGGAAGAAGTACTCTTTTTCCTACACCTTGATGTGACTCAGGAAACAAACAACCTTATTTGCTGTGGGCTACTATTTTGAAAACCTGAAAAGAGCCATGTTAAAAGAGGCAAGCAAACAGAAATGGGAGAATGCTAAGAAAATCTTAGAGAACTAGGATGGAACCTGTTTAAATGTTCATTAAACCTTCCCTACTAGACCATTTCAGTGTATTGGTCAATATATTTTATGGCTTTTTAACCTATTTTGCATTGCTTTTTATGCCAAAAAAATTCAGATTTCCCTATCATAAACTTGATTTCTATTTCCTTAGTTTGAATTCAAGCATTTTTTCATAAATTTTTCCATTTTTTATTCTGTTATTCCTGTTTATTTACCTCTTGCATTTGTTCGTAATTTCCAATTATTCGCTACATATCAAGTGATACTAATACGCATCAAATATGAGGCAACTGTTTTCTATCAGACAGATGCTTATCTTGAATATCTTTATGATTACTCTTGTCATAAGGAAATGCATAATTCTTTAAAATATATTGAATATTAAGTTCAAATATATTAATCATTTCTTAATCCTCCTATGTTTCTATAATTTCATAAAATTGCTAAAATGAATATTTCTTTAAACCAATTAAAGAATATTTATGTATATACAATTTATTTGGCTTCTTTGTTAACTAATTTATTTATATTTGATAACATTTACAATGCCAACATAATTTACTGTGAGATAGAGTGTGGAATACGGTTTCATAGCAAAGAGTATGCATCTAGACAGCCTATGTCAAAACTCTGGTTCTACAAGCTTACTAGGTATTTGTGATTTTGAAAATTATTAATTCCTCTGCTACTTAGTTTTCTGTTTTATAAGATTAAAATATTAGTAGTACCTATGTTGCGGTGTTGTTGAGAGCATATATAATTTATTGAAAGTGCTCTGTAACTTGTAGCTATTATTTTTATTAACATAAAATGTAATTTTAACCATTCTCATCTACTTCTAGAATGTTTACTGCATTATTTTAAATTTATATATAAATCTATGTATATATTTAAAATTATAGTTCCTTCCTATCATTATTTTATGTTTTATTCCTCCATAATCTCATAAACACAGCTTTTGTTGTTACAGTATCTTCTATAACTTGAAAGTATTATTTTTATTAACATTAAACGTAATTTTGATCATTTCCATCTTTACTTAACTACTTCTAGAACTTTTACTGCATCATTTTAAATTTAGATATATAAATCTATGTGTATATATATCAAATTATAGTCCCTTCCTATTATTATTTTGTTTTATTCCGCCCTAATGTCATAAATAGAGCTTTTGTTGTTACAGTATCTGTGCTGGATTTTATATTTTACATGTTAAATTCCGTTATTAAAATATATTTTCAAAAATATTAACTTCACACACTCCCCCTCCACATTTTTTTATTAATATAAGGTAAAACTAGGCTAATAGATAATTACTTTATTAATTTGGAGAGCTTGATACAGAGAGACACATCTAGATGAGGTAACTTTTTATGTTTAAGAAAAAGTGGAATTTGTAACCAGAGAACCTGCATTGTACTTTCACATCTGTCTTCCACTATTTATGTAAATTGAAAGAATTTACTTCTGCATCTTAACTGTTCCATTCAGTATCAGTTTAAACTCTGAGGGTTCTGGAGACTTAGTAGAGTAAATCTGTCATATGTATCACCCACACCTATGTGAGTAACCCCCAATAAAATCCCTGGACACCAGGGGTTAGAAAAACTTCATATTTGCTTTTACTTTATTGTTGGAAATATGAAATACTTCATATTTACTTTATTGTTGGAAGAATTAAGTGCTGTCTACATGACTCTACTGAGAGAGAAAAACTGGAAGTTTGTGCTTGACTTCATTTGGATTACATTGTATGTGCCTTTATCTTTGCTAATTTTCACTTGTATCTTTATACTGTAATAAAACATAACCATGAGTATCAGTTTTTCTGAGTTATGACTTCTTCTAGTGAATCATCAAAACTGAG
Organism: Homo sapiens; assembly: GCF_000001405.40. Classification (NCBI taxonomy): domain Eukaryota; kingdom Metazoa; phylum Chordata; class Mammalia; order Primates; family Hominidae; genus Homo; species Homo sapiens. The sequence goes on along the minus strand of NC_000004.12, from coordinate 116,034,403 downwards.
AGTTGGCTTGAGGACCACCAACCTTCCAAGCAACAACTACCAGTCAGTCTCTATACTCATATGTCACTACCATTGAACTTTTGCTTACCATAGATTAGTTTCTCCTGTTGTTGAACTTTTATATAAATGTAGTCATAGGGTATACCTGCATTTCTGTCTGACATCCTTTGCCCAACGTGATTTTTGCTAACATAATATTTGTTGTGATTTATTCATATTGTTGTGCATATTAATATTCCATTATTTGTACATTTCTGAGTATATTTCTTCTTATGTATAATTAACATTTGTTCATCCGTTCTTTTTTTTTTTTACTTTTTTATGAAAGAAGAGAATTTATTGCTGTAACTGGATACAGGGAGAAGGCTGGAGATAATTCCACCAGACCAACTCAAATCGTTACAATTTTCTTAGTGGCTATATTGGTTGGGGTTATGTGCCTCCATGAAGTATATTATTTGCCTAAGTCTATTAGTAACTAATTTGTTTTCAACTGGAAGGTCACAGGGAAAAAAAATACTTGCCAAGTCCACTCTATACCTTCAAGGCCTGTCTACTGTGGTACCGGAGTGATTATTTCTATCTTACCTCCTTTATTCATTGGAGAGGCTAAGACATCCATTTTAATGTTGATAGACATGTGAGTTATATCTATCTCAGGATATGATGGATAAAACTCTATAAACATTCTTATAAAGTCTCTTTTAAGACATATGTTTTTATTTCTCTTGGTTAAACATCCAGGAGTGAAAAATATTTTATTCTAAAACAGTTGTTACAGTTTGTAGTTTCACCAGTGTTCTATCACTTGATCTTAGCCAAAAGGCAGAGAAGTGATCCAGCATTACCTCAGAGTTCCAGTTGCTCCACTTCTTTGCCAATATTTACTGCTGTTGGTGATTTTAATTTCAATTTTAATTTTTTGCAGTTCTACTGAATATAAGGGGATGATTCACGGTGTTTCTACTTTGTAGTTCCCTGATGACCAAGGAAGAAATGAGAGAGAGTGAGAGATGGAGAGAGAAAGAGTGGGAGAGACAGAGAAAAGGAGAGAAAAGGATGAGAGAGATAAAGAGTTAAGAGATAGCATAGTCAAGTGGGACTTTTGTGATTCAGAGATCTTACACATTATCAAATATTACTGGTAACTTTAAGAATATAAGTAACAGTGTCACAGGCAAGGCAGTAAGAGTTTTGAGACAATCCACACCGCTCCCCAGGTCGTTCCTTTTCATACAAGATATAGATTAACAAATTAGGTCATAAATTACACAAAAGGAAGCTTCTTATTCATGAAATAACTTTATTTCATAGCTTTCTAATGAAATAGCTGGTTACTTTCTTGTTTAGTATTTGCTTATTACAGGGAATCATATCCCATGAATTCATAGATTATGTCATAGATTTTTTTATTATGTGGAATCCTAACAAGGTAAATGTTTCTAAAAGCAGTTCATAAAAAGGAACACTCTTGTTATCAAATATATTTAATTTATTTGATATGAGGTTGCTAATTTATATGTTTATCTGGCATGGTAACATTCGTTATTTTTTGGAGTGAGGTTATGAGACAGGCTCAAGTAATTTAAAGAATGAGCTGCAATACTGTTGTTTAAACCCTTTGTTCAGTAATATTGGTAAGATATTCTCAGAGTCTGTCACATAGCTTAAATTTTTTTGTAAAATGGGGATGTTTTATGTACAGAAGTTATTAATTTCGATAAAGTTAAATTTGTTTTTGTTTTATGTTTACTAATTTTGTGTTCTCTCTAAAACTAAATATTTCTTCACCTTGTTTGGAAGATATCCAGTTATATTTCCTCCCAAAACTTATACCTTTGTTTTAAATTTAAAACTCTGATTTGTATCAGCATCTTAATATTACTGTTTGAATTCATTCAGTAGCATACTCTTACTCTTATGTCATTCTTTATTCTCTTACAAAAGTAATATTGTAATTGAGGTCTAACAATGTTGTACAGGCTGGCCATGAAATTCCAGGTTGAAGCAATCCTCCCACAGGAGCCTCCTGAGTACCTAGGAGTTTAGTCACAAGCCATCATTCCTAGTTATACTTCTTTTTGTTGCACTTGCTAAGTCCTCCAGTACAATGCTGTATCAAAGTGGTAAAATTAATTATTCACATATTTTCAATTTTAAAGGCAGAGTATCAACTCCTAAATTATTAACTATAAAATTAGGGGTAGCTTCTGTGTTCATTTGCATTTTTTTTAATTTTGTATATAGCCTGTATCAGACCTAGAAACTTTTAATTCCCAGTTTGCTTATTTTTTTTTTCTTTGAGTGAACTTTGACTCTTGTCAATGTATTATCTTTGCCAATTGACACTATATCTACTTTTATCCTTTATCTTTATAATATGATAAATTACATTGATTTTTTATTGTTTAAACCATCATTCAATTTCCTGTTAATACCACTTGGTCATGATGTATAATTTATAATTTATAAAATTTATAAATTATATATAGATAATTTATAATTTATAATTTATAAAAGATACTATTGATCAGTCCCACTAGCATTCAAAATATTTTTCTCATCTTCAATTTCGTTAAAGAGTTTGTGTTAGATGGCATTAGTTTTTCACAGAACATTGATAAAATTCACCAATGAGAGCATTTGTGTAAGAATTTTCTCTATTGGGGGATATATTAGAATTTAAAATTGTTTAATAAGCATAGGTTATCCAAATTTTCTGTTTCTTCTTGGTGTTGATTGTGTTTAATCAAAGGATTCATCTTTTTTACACAAGTTATCAAATGTATTATTAAGTTTTGCTACATATTTCCTCATTTTCCTTTTATTTTCTACAGTATCTATAGAAAAGATACTGTATCTTGTACAGTTTCTTCCTTGTTTAGCTGCTAATATTGATAATTTCTGTTTTCCCTTTTATTCTTGATAGGTCCTGCTAGTCTTTTATCAGTTGTATTAATCAACTTTACTAAATTTCTTTCTGTTTTTTTGTATTATTCATTTTCCTGTTATCTTTATTATTCCATTTATTTTACTTACTTTGCTTAATTTGCTTCCCCTCCCCTCAATTATTTAAAACTAATCTTAGATTTTGTATTTTTAAACTTTCTTCTTTAATAATATAAGCATTTAAATTAAGAGATACCTAATCTCTATCCCCTTCATTCTGGGTAGACACTGTGGCTGATTTAAACAAATGTGATATAAGTGATAGTACCAGTTGTAAATGCAGTTTATAATTGGCCTGGATACTTCTGCATCCTCATATGTAAATAATCACCTTGTAATCCTCTGTCTTGGAGCAGATATGTTCTATCCTGCAAAAATCTCTTACTACATAGGTAGGCCACATATAGGTGCTCGTTTTTCTCTCATTTTGATTAGGAATGCCTCATGGGAGTTATCATTCCTCTCTATCACAGTTGTATATTGGGTGAGTGGAGGGGCAGATAACTAGCCTCTTCCTTCACAGGTAAATACCTGCTCAGTAAGTACCATATACAAAGAACTGTATTCAAGAAAGCACACAGAAAGAGCCTCATCATTATCAAAACATTATTTACACAATGAAATTCTGAACTTAGGGCTGATGTCCTAAAGGGAGAAGACTTTGATGCTGTGCGAGGAGGACTGAACATATTTTGATTGTAGGAAACAGCTGTATTATTGTGGCCAGGAGGAAATGTATTAGTCCATTCTCAGACTGCTAATAAAGACATACCTGAGACTGGGTAATTTATAACGGAAAAAAGGTTTAATTGGCTCACACTTCAGCATGATTGGGGAGGCCTCAGGAAACTTACAATCATGGTGGAAAGGGAACCAAACACAACCATCTTCACATGATGGCATGAAGGAGAAGGGCCAAGAGAAGGGGGAAAAGCCCTTTATAAAACCATCAGGTCTCATGAGAAATCACTCACTATCACAATAACAGCATGAAGGTAACCACCCTCATGATTAAATTACTTCCCACCTGGTCCCTCCCATGGCATGTGGGGATAATGGGAACTACAGTACAAGATGAGATTTTGATGGGTACACAGCCAAACCACACCATTCCACCTCTGACCCCTCCCAAATCCCCTGTCCTCACATTTCAAAACACAATCATTTCTTCCCAACAGTCCCCCATAGTCTTAACTCATTCCAGCATTAACCCAAAAGTTCAAGTCCAAATTCTCATCTGAGACAAAGCAAGTCACTTCCACCTGTTACCCCATAAAATGAAAAGCAGGTTAGTTGCTTCCTAGATAAAATGGGGATAAAGGCATTGGGTAAATATGTCCATTACAAATGGGAGAAATTCACAAAAATGAAGAGGCTACCGGACCTATTCAAGTTTGAAATCCAGAAGGGCAGCCAAATATTAAAGCCCTGAAATGATCATCTTTAACTCTATGTCTCACATCCAGGGCATGCGGAAGCAAAAGGTGGGCTCTCCCACAGCCTTGGGCACCTCCGCCCCTGTGGTGTGCAGGATACAGACCCTCTCCTGGCTGCTTTCATGGGCTGGTGTTGTGTCTGTGGCTTTCCCAGGCACAAGGTACAAGCTGTTGGTGGATCTACTATTCTGGGATCTGGACAACGGTGGCCCTTTTCTCACATTTCCACTAGGCAGTGCCCCAATGGGGACTCTGTGTGGGAGCTCCAATCTCCCAAATTTTCCATCTACTCTGCCCTAACAGGTTCTGCATGAGGGTTCCACCCCTGCAGAAAACTTCAATAATTTATATTTTGCTTTCATTTTCCTATTTTAATAAGAATCACCAAATTTCTAGTTAATGTTGTATGGTTGATAATATTTCAGCCTATTTTTTTCTTCTATGCTGATTTTATCCTCAGGAAAAATCTTACATGGAGCTGAAATCATTGTATCAATTTTCTAAAAAGCAATCTTAATCACTTTCCAGGCCTTGATTTCTCTATTTGCATTTTCATGAATGTATATTAACTTATTGTTGTGTATGAATGTACATATTTGCGAATTAACTTTATCAAATTTAAATGTTGTGATATCCCAGTGAGCATAAAACCTAGTTACTTGGGTGCACCTGCTCACATAATTGACTTCTGTATTCATGGGGATTTTGAAGCACTAAGTGCATGAGCAGTTATCATTAAGGCAATTTCACAGGACTCTGAATGTTGTGTTCTAATAATCCACAAACTCTGTAAAAGAGAATACGAATAAAGACTTAACAGTTGCTTTGAATATCATGAATAGCTGTTATTATTTTCCTCTGAACCATAAAAATGAATCACTGTATATTTGCATCAGAGTATTCACTTCCACTTAAAAATTGTGTGTTTTATCATGTGGAAGAAATGTTAGCTAAAGATTTAAAAGTTTCACACAGTCTAGAAACCTTCCCTGCACTTGAATAAATGATAGTTTAGGAAACATAGGTATTAAATATATGCTTAATATATTTTTCTCAATCCAGATTTTATCTTTGTATTTGTGTAATCCCATGTATTTAGACTGTGGCTTGGACGAAGGCATTTTTTAAAAACTCCACAAATTCTCCTAATAAGCCACTGGATTGGTATCCACTGATGATAAGTACACAAATCAATAATTTTTATAGGTGTTTCCACTGGATTTGTATCCACTGATAATAAGTACACAAATGAATAATTTTTATAGGTATTTCCTCATATATTTTTATAAAGTAATAAAACATTGATTTATTCTCTTTAGTATTTCCCCAATTGTCCCAAAATTAGTAGTTACACATCAACAGGAATTTTACTGATAAAATCTTCTCTGTCCTCATCAATTTTTCAAATTCAGTAATTAACAAGGTTAAAAAGGTTTCTTTTGCAGACGTCTCAAGAAATTTCCTAGACTAATATGCATTAATTTGGATCAGCAATGTGTTAAACCCAAACACATACACATGTGTGTGTGAAGAATTTTATGTTCTAGATTTATATAAAATATACCTTTGAAAATACTGTTCTATTCACATTTTTTGATACAGAAAATAAGTTATTTTTACATTTTAATTTACATAAAATTATGGAATTACCATTCTCTAACATTATCGAGTAAAACTTTTCAGGCTCTCATGGTTTGGCATCAGTGAGCCATTTTTTAATAATAAAAAATTCTCTATGTCATATCCACTCCATACAATTTTAAGTGTAGGACTGCCTCTTACTATTGTCACAGCAACTACCCTATTGTTGAAACTCTACCTTCATCTCTTCATGTAGTTTGTGTTTACTCTTTTCATTCTCTGGTCACAGGAAAATGTCATGGCATAAGCCTATTCAAAATTTTCCATAAGAGTGAAACGATGATTTGAGCTTATCCAATAAGACTCCTTTCCATGCAATTCAGCACAGATATTAAGGGCAGGTGGAGATTGATGGAGTTTCTTTAGGCTGATGGACTTACATTGCCTGGGCTTCCTATAACAATCTTTCTTATTCTATAGGAAAACTATTTTTGTCAGTTTTTGGGACCCAAAGCAAGAGAAAAGTCTTGAGCAGACCCAGATAGCAATGCAAGAACTCTGTCACTTTGGCTTAATACCTTGGCAGATAGTTTTCTTACATTTTTCAGTAGGAGATAATGTTTGTCAGGGGACCTGTTGAAAAGCTACAATAAAAGACTAGCAAAGCAAACTCTTAGATTTTGGAGCAAAGATAGATTCTTTTCTTCGGAAAACTATTTTCCTCTTGAGATACAGCCCCAAACTTTCATTGAGCCTTGTAAAGACTAAAGTCCTGAATTTGTGTTACCAATAGAACATGCAATATGAGCCGTCACTCATGAACTGACCCATCAAGCCAGGAAGTTAAATAAGTACAGCTCATTCAGCATATCCTGTTGGCATAATCATGTGCCTCAAGCACTAACAATACCCATTGTCCCTGCACTGGGACCTTTTCCCCCAACTTAATCCAACTGGCCTCATGGGAATTTCCTTGTGTGCAGCTGTCTGAGAAATGCCAGCACCATGCATGTGGACTTCAGGAACACTATCCTTTATCAAGGAGAAACATGAAGTAGAAAACGTAGGATTTTAAGATGGCTATCTGGTTTTTCATAATTAAGAGATAGAGATATGAATCCATATAAGTTTGTAGGCAGTCACTAATGATTAGCTTAGACATCAACTGTGTTAAGAGGACATGACTTCAAGAGTATGATAAGAAGCACAGGAAGAGGTAGAAAAAAATGGGTCTTTAATGAGGAAAACAGGATGTAATAATGGCTACCTGCATAAGACATGCCCTGCATAGGAAGCTCTTAATGGTAAGGTGATAATCATTATTCTGACTATGACTCAATATAAGCAGTATGGCTGAAACTCTATTAGTCTTTCTCTCCAGGTACCTCAGTGTTAGATTCAACAGTCCTTAACAGTGGTGATAGTGGTAGAATTTTAATTGAAAAAATACATGGGCTACTATTACGGGCTTTTCTATATCAAGAGCTACCTGGTAGTACTACTGTTAAATGATCAACTTTTGAAAAGCAGAGACCAAAGGCACAATTTATATGGCACAATTTATCAGTGCCTAGCAACATGCTTATTACATTGGACCTCCTGTCTTGAAAGCTGTTTGGAGACTATGCTTTGTGGTGTTCCTGTATGTTTTATGATGACTTTTCTCCAGGAATATATTTTCAAGGATGTCTCAATAGCAAACAGCCTTGAAGGCTAAAGATAGAATTTTCCTCCAGGTCAGAAGGTATATTTGTTTCCTAACCAGTATAATATAGTCTTCCTCCAGGGCAAAGGATGGGCAGGTTTGCTGTCAAATTCCTTATAGGATTAGGGGCTGGCTAAGCTCAGTATTGCTCAGTTTTGACACAGACTCTTTTGTGCTCAATGTTCACTTGGGCTTATTCTGATTCAGAAGTATTGGACTTACGAGACAAGGGGAACCAATGCACACACCAGGTTTCTGCTGGACCGTGATTAATAAACTATCTAAATCCATTTAGGCTCATTGATTTCTTATGGTTTGAATCAATGGAATTCTGACAAGCCAACCTAGAATATTCTTGTTGTTTAGGGACTTTTTGATGTCTTGTTAGAAGATTTCTTGGCACTGGAATAAACTCTTGCACTGCCCACAATGGTTCTGTTAGCACTATCTCTGAACTTACTGAATCCATTACTTACCATCATGGTTTTCTATAATATTGCTTTTCGGTTAAAGTACAGCAAATAAATTGAGGAAATAGTCTCATGCACCAAATGACCCAACTAAATAAATTCATTAAATAATGAATTAATAATAAATTAAATTAATTGGCCAGCTAAAATGAGGGAATTTATTGAAGAATCAGAAACTGGGTGACAACACCTGCCAAAGCAAATTCTAGATACCATAAAAGCTCAGAACCAAGAAGTAACTTACAGTACTCTTTGTCCCATAGTCAGAATACACAGGTTTGGGAATGAAGGGGTTGAACAAAGGAGTGCTTTTTCTCCCTATTACTCAAAATTATATGTAGAGAAAGAAAAATGTTTTATATATAGAGAAAAATTTCTACTAGGGGACAAAACAGTGTTTGTATTGAACTGGAAGTTAAGAATTCCATCTACCTACTTTGAGCTGATCACAACACTGAATCAAGGCCCAAAATGGGGATATTTGGAGAGACAGACCACGTGTTAATACGTATTTCATTTTCTAGATAAAACATAGAAGATTGCAACCATGCCATACAGGAGGGCTAACTAATGGCTCATATAATAAGTCTCTATCTTTAGTTGCCTGTTCAAAAGGGGAAATCTGATGAGTGTAATGTATTGTAATATCTGCCAAATAAAGAAGCCCCTGAAAGAATCCTCTCCTTTGACCAGGATTCTCTTTTAGTGCTTTCTCTGACAGAAATTAGTTGTTTGCTGATCAAAGTCTCTCAGGATTCCTGGACAAGAAGCAAGCCTATTTACCCAATGGCTTACTAATTTATCAAGGCCTATTTGAAAGAAGTATAAACATAATTTTTATTGGTCCAACTGCTTGCATTATTTTGAGCTTCACAAGGAGCAGACTGTAATATGAGGATTTGCATAAAATTCTTGTGGAAATTGTTCTCAAGAAACACTTGTACAGGAGAGGAGAAATGAGACAGGAAAGGAAAAGAAGCCAATACAGGGTGCCTTATTAAGCAAGTTACCATGGTGAGCAGCTGAAGATAAGTCCTGCTTTGGAACTATGGGACTCCATTTAGTACACACTGCTCAGAATGATCTCACCTGGAGGCAAGGGATCTGGGGTATATCCACATCAACTCCCATCAATCACTGGTTGAGAGCTGCTCCCAGGAACATGTCAGTTCATTGGCACTTACATGTGGTGTAGACATAGCAGGTTCCAGACGGCAGAAAATATACTCAGGGAGAAAGTCACAGAGGCTGGCAGTTGGAAGTTAGTCTGGTGTGGACAAAAACATTAAATACTGAACAGGAAATGGGCAGAGTGCCAATGACATGGACCACACATTTTATTTGGTTATTGAAACAATATTTATTAATAAATACACTTTGTGTAATGATCTCCAATGAGCACAAAAGTGACTGCTGTTGTGTTTTGTTTCCTGAAACTCCTTCACCACCATTATAATGGTGAGATAGTGAAAAAAATTAATTTTCTCATAAAATTAATTTTCTCATATGAAGGCTGAAATCTTATGTCAAGAACAAGTTTATTATATTACATCAAATAAGGTCAATGAGATAACTATATGGAAAAATGTGATGTAAGTTTAAGTGCTATAATAATTTTAATTCATTAATTCCATAAATGGTCACATGTAAAGATTAAAAACTGCTAAATGCCCTACCTGAGAAGAAGAGCTGGCAAATTCAGTAAATGGATATATTTTCATGTACAATGTTTTAAGAACTATTCCTTGAGTAATCCCATCCATAAGATGAAAAATATTTTATTTCTCTCTAAACAGATTTAAATTTTAATACTCTGTGCTTCACCATCAGAATATGAGATAACAATCCTCTTTCACGTTGAGTATGTCATAAATAAATAATGCCACTTATCAATGCTTTAAATGTAGTATAAATTTTACATTCGACTTAACTTTATTTTAGCCTAAATGAATTACATAACTTGAAACATAAAGAAATTTCATAGTAAAAGTTAAAAGAAATTGTTGCATCACTGAAAGAATGTTATAGATCCATTATAAGGAGGAAATATAACAATAGTAAAATACATTGATACTGAATGACTTTTAAAAAATACACTTGGTTAATACAAATAAATATTTAAGTGATTGAAAAAATTTTAGTCATTGGAGATTATTTATAAAATTTAATGTTTTACTAAATGTTGACTTAGATAATCAATATGTGTGATAAAATAGTAATGATTTTTTAGTGATTATGTGCTGAGATTTCTTTCCGTTGCAATAAAATATATATTTTCATTTCTGTTTTTTCAACTTTAATTACAATAACGTATAATACTAATAATGCTTTATTTATCAGTTAATAAGTTATGTATACTAGACATTTTGTTTTTTGTTTTTTGAGGTATAGTTTTAACCAACAGAGGTAAGTGGCTATAACATGTTAAGATAGGTACATTGCACAATGAGGTCGAAAACCAGGAACTGGTTTATGAATTTGTCATGAAAAGTAAATAACTTTTGGAAATTGAAGCATTTAGAAGCACATTTAGATATTAAGGCATTTATCCAAAATGTATTTTCTAAAATTGCAACTTGAACTAGCTGTGTATATTTATGTATCTGTAAATATATGTTCATTTTTGTTAATCATAGCATGCATATTACTTTGAATGTGAAAGAGGTTTAAAATATTGCAGTGGAAGTCATTCATATAATTTTATGATTCCCAAAATGAAGTTTAAGTGCTATATTATTTTTAAAATGTACATCTATCAGAATTTAATAATATGGTGTTAATTTTGTATCTAAATTAAATATATTTACATTTGAATAATTTATATTTTTTACTATACATCCAATTTCTTTCATCAGATTTATTGAGGTACAACAAATTGTACCTATCTGTGGGGTACACGTGATGCCTTGATATAGCTATACATTATAAAATAAATACCATAATCAAATTAATTAACATTCGTCACCTCGCATAGATATTTTTTGCGTGCGGTGAAGACACTTGAGAACTAACCTGTCAGCAATTTTCAAATATACATTATCATTACCTATAGTCAACATGTTTTTTAATATATCCCCAACATTTATTCATCCTGTCTACTGAAACTGTAGCCTTTTACCAATATTACTCCCATTCTCAACCCTGGCAATCACCACTGTACTGTCTGGTTCTATGATTTTGACTTTTAGATTCCACATGCAAGTGAGGTCATACAGTATTTGATCCCTGTTTTTGGTTTATTATCACTTAAAATGTCTTCCAGATTAATCTACATTGTTGCAAAGGACAGAATTTCCTTCTTTTCAGTATATTCTATTTTTCTTTCAAAGGCTGAACAGGGCCAGACACAGTGGCTCATTCCTGTAATTGCAGCACTTTGGGAGGCCAAGGCTGGTGAATTGCTTGAGCCCAGGAGTTTGAGACCAGCCTGGGCAATGTGGTAAAAACCCATTTCTAAAAAATAAATAATAAACAGCTGAACAATATTCTATTGTGTGGATGTAAACCATCACCCACACATAAACATATATGTGGTACACATACACGTATGCACACTCATATGCATATTCCACATAATGTGTGTGTGTGTGTGTATGTATATATCTCCAGATTTATCTATCAATAGACACTGAGGTTGACTCTAAATCTTGGTTATTGTGAGTAATGTTGAAATAAATGTGGAAATACAAATATCTCTTTAACATACTGATTTCACTTTCTTTGAACATATACCAAGGTGTCAAACTGCTGAATCATATAGTAGTTCTACTTTTAATTTGTTGAGGAATCTCCATGCTGTTTTTCATAATGCCTCTACTAATTTGCACTCCACAATAGTATAAAAGAGTTCCTTTTCTCTGCAACCTCACCACCATGTTACCTTTTTAACAGCCTAAGAGTTTTTGTCATAAAAAATGCCTCATTTTGGTTTCAATTTGCAATTCCCTAGTGATTTGTCATGATGAGCATGTTTTCATATACCTGTTGCATATTTGGATATCTTTTTAAAAATGTCTATGTAAGGCCTGGTGCGGTGGCTCACGCCTGTAATCCCAGCACTTTGGGAGGCTGAGGAGGATGGATCACCTGAGGTCAGGAGTTCGAGACCAGCCTGACCAATATGGTGAAACCCCATCTCTACTAAAAATACAAAAATTAGCTGGGCATAGTGGCACACACCTGTAGTCCCAGCTACTCTGGAGGCTGAAGCAGAAGAATTACTTGATACTGGGAGGTGGAGGTTGCAGTGAGCAGAGATGGCACTCTTGAACTCCAGCCTGAGCAACAAGAGCGAAACTCCATCTCAAAAAAAAAAAAAAAGTCTATTCAGGTCCTTTGCCTATATTTTAATCTAGTTATTTGTTTTATTGTATTGCATTGTTTGACATCTTTATATATCTTGGATATTACCCGCTTATCAGTTACAAGTTCTGCAAGTATTTTCTCCTAGCCTGTAGGTTGTCTCTTCACTCTGTTAATTATTACCATGGCTATTCAAAAGCTTTTAAATTTGATGCAATCCTATTTGTCTATTTTTGTTTTTGTTGCCTTTGCTTCTGGGGTCAGATGCAAAAAATGATTGCCCAGACTACTAGCAAGCAGCTCTCCTTATGTTTTCTGTTAGCAGTTTTACAGTTTCAAGTCTTACCTTTAAGTCTGTATGTAATTCATCTGCTGTTGATTTTCATATATGATGTAAGATAATGATCCAGATTCAATATTCTGCATACAGATATCTAATTTTCCTAAAATTGTCTATTAAAAAGCCTGCCCTTTCCTCCATTGTGTATCCTTGGCACATTTGTAAAATATCAATGAACTGTAAATGCATGGATTTATTTCTGAAATCTCTTCTCTATTCTGTTGGTTTATGTCTTTTTTATGCCAGTACCATGATGTATTGATTACTATAGCTTTGCAGTATATTTTGGGAACAGGTAGTACAATGCCTCCAGCTTTGTACTTTTTATCCAAGATTACTTTAGATTATCGAGGTTTTTTGTGGTTTCTTATACATTTTAGGAAGTGTCACTGCAAATTTGATATGGACTACGTTGAATCTTTAGATTGCCTTGGTTAGTAAGAAAATTTAAAAAATATTAATCAAATCCATGAATAGAGAATAGCTTTTCATTTATTTGTGTCTTCTTAAATTTCTCTTATTGATGTTTTATAGGTTTCATTGTATAGACATTTCATCTCTGGTTAAATGTATTCCTAATATTTAATGTTTTTTGTGCTATTGGAAATGGGATTGTTGATTTTTTTATGATAGTCTATTGTTAGCATATAGAAATGCTACTGATTTTTATTGATTTAGAATCTTTCAATTTTACTTAATTTACTTATTAGTTCTAACAGTTTTGTGGTAAGGTTGGATGGTTTTTATTCTTTTCCATTGTATAATTGCTTTGTTTAGGACTTTGAGTACAATGTTAAATAGAAGTGGTAAGAAGGGACATCCTTGTACTGTTACTCATCTCACAGTAAGAGCTTTCAAATTTTCAATGTTGAGTATAATGTTAGTTGTGAGTTTGTCATATATAACTTTTATTATGTTAAAGAACATTTCTTCAATACTTAATTTAAGAGTTTTTGTCATAAAAATTACATTTTATAAAATATTTCTTCTACATCTGTTGTGGGAATCAGGAGACTGAAGAGACCAATGGATAGAATAGGAGGATTTTGTTGAGTGTGCTCAGGCCTAGTGGATTAACATCCAAAGGCTAAGCCCTGAATAAAGACAGGGCTTGACTTTTATACACACTTCTGAAAGGGGGTTAGCTAGTTTGAAACAAGCTTACAGTGGCGCGAAAGGCAGTGCTGTGAAAGCAGGTCTACAAAAGCAGAACAAAGGCAGTTTATCAAACAGTGACAGGCCTGTAATTCAGGCTTGCTTAAGCATGTCATGTGATTCCTGCTATGTGGCCCAGGTGGCTGTAATCTAGGCTTGCTCAAGCTTTTCTCTTGTCCTTTGCTGTGCCGCCCTAATGGGAAGCAGGAACTTACAGAAACCAGCTACAGAACACAGGAATTTGCAAACTTACAGAACTTGCCAAACAGGGTGCAATAGCACATGGCGGGCCAAGGTTGGGGATGGGGTAGGCTCAAGGAGGAAGCTGCCTAAAGGAGAAAAAATTTTTCTTTCTTTTTAACTTCTGCTTCATTTCCCCCTTTGATGCTTTTTATAAATGAGGTTTAATAGAAACCATCACTATTATTTAATTCTTCATGTAAAGGTAGTTTTTCATTTGGCAAAGGTTGGTATTTACTTAGAGTCATTAGTTGAGTGGTAGTTTGTCTATCTACAAGAGCCTCTATAGCTGATTGGATGTTTTTAACAAGGAGAGATAGGAGACAAGGGAGTATAAGGCAGACTCCTAATATGGTTAATACTATTCCTACTAAGGTTTCAAATCCTCTAAGAGATGAAAACCAGCCCCGAAGGGGGAATCTGGAGACCATCTCTTCCAAGTCTGGACTGGAACGTGGGATAATTTTTGGATTTTTGCAGTTACATTTTCAATGACCTTTCCATTGTCATCAATCTCTAGGCAGCAATTAGTTAGATTGAACTTTCTGCATACCCCCGCTTCCTGGGCTAGGAGGTAGTCTAAGGCTAATCTATTTTGATAAATAGCATTCCTCATTTTTGCGGCTTGCTGGGCTAGCAGATTATGGGCCACCATAGGAATGCTGCCTGGCAAGCACTGAAATACAAGGATACGACTTCCTTGTGGGAAGGAGAGACTTTGGTTTGGTTTAGAAGATCCCCTTCCTTGGTATGTACTTCAAACCAGGACTCAGTAGGTGGAGACTTAGGGTTATAACATATATAAGACTGGCCATTTCCTGGGTCACAGATTGAGTAGGTTGTCTGGTTTTGTGTACAAGTTCCCAGACAGGTCCCTGCACACTCATAATAAGTATGATATATCAGGGTCTTGGTTATGGTGCTCCCCGACCGTGCAGTATGAGTGCAGTGGGGGCATCCTCTTATGGGTCCTCCTCCTGACATGGACAAGGGGAGTAAGAATAAAGTAAAGAGTAGCATATTTATACCTAGCAAGGACAAAAGAGGTTTTTACCCAGGGGAGAAGGTTCAGCAAAGTGACAAAACAACAGTGAAACAATTAACATTATACAGAAAACTACTAGGCTTAAGATTTTTAACCATATCTACTTCCCTGATGATGACTCAAGCTTTGGCCATGTGTAGACTAGTCAGCTTCCGGGGTGACTAGAGCAGGGCTGTTGTTTCCTCAAGCTTCAGCTGTACATAGACTGGTCAGCTTCCAGAGTTACCAGAGCAGGGCTGTCGTTGTCTCAAATGGCAATTTGGTCCCCTCATAGGATCAGCTGGCACGGATGGTCTGGGTCCTGTTGGCTGGTCCACCTGTCTTGGGCTGCCAGTTTCAGCTAACTGTGATGGATCCAAGGCACAATTTCTGCAACCTTAACAGCAGTGGGAGTGGACAAGATTACAGTATGGGACCCATGGGTCCCAAAGTGGTTGAATTGATTTTTTTGACCTAAACAGAGTCGCCAGGGTTAAAGGGGTGTGCTGGGTCTGTCAGGCTTATGGGCATTCTTTTCCATGCCTAGCCATGGACATCCTGCATGGCTATCCTTAAAGACTGCATTTGCTTTCTTAAAGTTAATTCCCCTAGTTCGCGGAGATCACCCTTAAGTTGACCTCTGATTCCGGGTGGCCGACTGAATAAGATTTCATAGGGCAAATATGCAGTTTGTTTGGTGGGGGTGCACCTGACTTGGAGGAGGACCATAGGCAGGACCTGATCCCATCTTAGATGGGTCTCTTGGCAATATTTCTTTAGTAGCTGTTTGAGTGTCCGGTTCATGCGCTCTACTTTGCTTGAGTTTTGTGGCTGGTAGGCTGTGTGTAATTTCCATCGTATTTTTAATAGCTGTGCCAGTTCGTGAACTATTTCAGCTACAAATGCCGGTCCATTGCCTGACTTAAGAGTTAGGGGCAGTCAAAATCTGGGGATAATGTCTCTTAACAGTACTTTAGTTACCTCCCATGCAGACGAGTACCAGCATGTACTGATAGCCCCCTGCTCGGAGCAGCTTGGTGAAGTTCATTAGTAGGTTTTCACAGGGTGAGGCTCCCATTTTCTGAATTCTGTGGGGCTGAGTGGGCCCTTGTCATGGGTTGTTTTGGGCACAAATTAGACATTGTTTGCAAACACCTCGGGTGATGGCAGTGAGTCATGGCACATAGAAATGACAGAAATGACATCGCAGTAGCATTTCTAGTGCCATTTTTCCCATGTGAGTCCCTTGGTGGAATTCTTTTACAAACTTAGGGGCCACCATTTCAGAAATGGCTAGTCTCCCGTCAGAATTTCCACCATGCTTTCAGTGTATTTTCCAATTTCTCGGGCAAACCAGGCCTTCTTATTTGGAGAATAACTTGGGATCTCTGAGAGGGGAGGCTCTGGGAGGAGAGGCATAGTTAGGGCTTCCTTTTTAAAGGGTGGAGTAGTCATTGCTGCCCGTTTTGCCTCTTTGTCTGCCTTTCTGTTTCCTTTGGCCTCTAGTGTTCCAGCCTTTTCGTGCCTTCTGCAGTGCATTACAGCTACCTTCTTTGGGGCCCATACAGTGTCTAACAGCTGTAAAATTTTCTCTTTGTACTTTATTTCTTTTCCCCTCAGCAGTTAAGAGTCCTCTCTCGGTACATAGCTCCATGAACATGCAATGTGGCAAAGACATATTTGACATTAGTGTAAACATTGACCTTTTTGTCTTTTGCCAGCAAAAGAGCCTTTATTAGGGCTATTAGCTCTGCATTTTGGGCTGATGTTCCAGTGGGCAGAGGCTGAGCCTCTACCACTGAGTCCAATGTTACCACCGCATAACCTGCCGGACAGACTTCTTCCAATATGAAACTGCTCCCATCTGTGAAGTACTCAACATGTGGGTCCCTGAGGGTTTAGTCTGTAAGATCTCCCCGACTTGAGAATATCTCATCTACTGTTTCTATGCAGTCATGGAGGGGAACTCCTGGTTCGATCGGAAGTAGGGTAGCCAGGTTAAGGGTGTTTACTGTTTCTAAAGTTAGGCAGGGATTTTCACACAGGAGCCCCTGGTACTGAGTCATCCTTGGATTTGATAACCAATGGTGCCCTCTTTGATCCATTAAAGTTGTAACTGAATGTGGTACCTGGATGGTCAGCTGCTGCCCCAGAGTCAGTTTGATAAAGTGGCAGCTAGTGCCCTAAGCCAAGGAGGCCACCTTAGTGCCATTGAGTCCAGTTGCTTGGATAAGTTATGCCACCAGGCAATGCCATGATCCTATGACTTGAGTCAGGACTCCTATAGTCATTCATTTCATTCATGGACATACAGAAAGGAATGCTTAGTTATGTCAGGGAGTCCTAAGGCTTCTTTGATTTGTTTAAACACCTTCTCCTGGTCAACCTCCCAGAGGAGGGGTTCCTTTTCTCCCCTCTTGAACCTGGCCATGTTAATCATAATAAAGGGGTCTCTGAGTCTCCCGGAGAGGCATCTGCACAGCCTGGGCGTAGCCAGACCAGAGGCAGCTGGCCTGATCATCCTGACTTTCCTCCTTGACCTCCTGGGGCAGTGGCTTTGATTTTTCCTTTTGGGGCGAGGCCCGGGTTTGGTTATCATCTGAGTTTGACTCCTTGGGAGCCGGCCTTGGTAAAGGGGGTAGATTGGGGCATATGGAGGAAGAATTTCTGTCTCCTCTGACAGTTCCTGCAAAACTGGTTTTTCCTGTGGCTTTCCCTTTGTCTTTGTAGCTGACAGCAAAGCTGATTTTTCTTTCACTTTAGACTCAGCTTAAACCACGAACGTTTTGCAATAAGCTGCCAGGCAGGGCTGCAGTGACACAGGTTGGGTTTAGACTATATTTAGCCATGAGTCAATATAAGGAAATTGGTCTGGATGCCCTGGCTGTCCTCCAACCCCAGTCACCACCTTAAATACATGGCCAATTGTTTCCCTATCTATAGTTTCTTCAGCCAGCCTTCTGACATTAAAAGAGGGCCATTCTATTTCACAGAGAGTTCTTAACCTCTTGGAGTTCAACTTGATCCCGTAATCCCCCACATAACCTTTCTCAAAGTTCTTTAACATACATTCCAATGGGGTGGTTTCAACGGCTTCCCTCCCATTTCTTCCCAATTATGGCACAACTCATTCACTCTTTTACTTTCACTTCAGACCAATTAGACTGTCCGCCTTGCAGGAGTATCTCAGACACCACTTGGCATTGGAGGATTCTTATAAGTCCTGAACCCAGACCACCACAAGTACTGAATTGTGGGGCACCCCCTTAAGCCATATTCAGTAGTCCCGGAGGAAGTTTGCCACTAGTCCTGGTCAGTCCCACACCTCGCTAGGAGTGTACAATCCATGCTAAGAGATATGCAGCCCCACACACTTCACTCCCCACGTTGGCTTCCTTTGGAACCACCTCTTTCACATGTATTCACACACTTCCCCGCTCCTAGTTCCTCTTTCCTGGGTGGCGTGTAGGTTTCATCCAACTTTGTGAGCCACTCTTCACTTCCTGGTTCAGACTACTCAGCACACCCCCAGGGGCAGGTTTCATCTGACTCTGTGAGCCACTCTGGCATCCTAGGCTGGGCTAGTCAGTGCACACCCCTGGGAGTTGATGAGGCTCTCCATTCATCCTTATGGGATGGGTCCTGACTTGGGCCCCAAACTTTACCATGGTCCTGTAGCACACTGTTCCTGGAATCATCCTATAACCCCTTAGGTTCCATTGTGCTGTCAGAGAGGGGCACCAGGTCACAGGAGAGCCAATACCTTCTCTGGGTTAAAGTCCTCCAATGGTACCTAAGGTCATGGGTCTCCCCCAGCTCAAGGCCCCAGACCCACAGGCAAAGGAGAGAGCAAACCTGATATTTCCACTGCTGGCTGGCTCGCCAAAATGGTGCAGAAATCAGTAGACTGGAGAGACCAATAGGTAGAAGAGGAGGATTTTATTGAGTGCACTCAGGACTAGTGGATTAACATCCAAAGGCTGAGCCCTGAACAAAGACAGGGCTTGACTTTTATACACACTTCTGAAAGAGGGTTGGCTAGTTTGAAACAAGCTTACAGTGGAACAAAAGGCAGTGGCATGAAAGCAGGTCTACAGAAGCAGAACAAGGCAGTTTATCAAACAGTGACAGGCCTGTAACTCAGGCTTGCTTAAGCATGTCATGTGATTCCTGCTATGTGGCCCAGGTGGCTGTAATCTAGGCTTGCTCAAGCTTATCTTGTGTCCTTCACTGTACTGCCCAAATGGGAAGCAGGAACTTACAGAAACCAGCTATAGAACACAGGAATTTGCAAACTTACAGAACTTGCCAAACAGGGTACAATAGCACATGGCGGGGCAGGGGGTGGGGCCTTGAGAGGGAAGCTACCTAAAGGAGAAAAATTTCTTTTTCTTCTCATTAACTTCTGCTTCACATCCATTGAGGTGATCACATAATTTTGTCTTTCATTTTCTTAATATGGTGTATCAGAATTATCAATTTGCAAGTGCTAAACCATGAACATCCTTGTATCCAGGGATAAATACTACTTGATCATGATTTATGATTCCTTTAATGTGTCATTGAATTTGGTTTGCTAGTATTTTGTTGCAAATTTGTACTATGTTAATCAAGAATATTGACCTTTCATTATTTTTTGTAGTGTCTTATCTGGCTTTGGTATCAGGGTAATGCTAATCTCATGAGATTGGATGAGTTATTTCCTCTTTAATTTTTTTGGGAATGGCGATCATTAAAAAGTCAGGAAACAACAGGTGCTGGAGAGGATGTGGAGAAATAGGAACACTTTTACACTGTTGGTGGGACTGTAAACTAGTTCAACCATTGTGGAAGTCAGTGTGGCGATTCCTCAAGGATCTAGAACTAGAAACACCATTTGACCCTGCCATCCCATTACTGGGTATATATCGAAAGCATTATAAATCATGCTGGTATAAAGACACATGCACATGTATGTTTATTGCAGCACTATTCACAATAGCAAAGACTTGGAACCAACCCAAATGCCCATCAATGATAGACTGGATTAAGAAAATGTGGCACATAGACATCATGGAATACTATGCAGCCATATAAAAGGATGAGTTCATGTCCTTTGTAGGGACATGGATGAAGCTGTAAACCATCATTCTGAGCATACTGTCCCAAGGACAGAAAACCAAACACCGCATGTTCTCACTCACAGGTGGGAATTGAACAACGAGAACACTTGGACACATGGTGGGGAACATCACACACCAAGGCCTGACATTGGGTGGGGGGGAGGGGGGAGGGATAGTATTAGGGGATATGCCTAATGTAAATGACAAGTTAATGGGTGCAACACACCAACATAGCACATGTATACATATGTAACAAACCTGGATGTTGTGCACATGTACCCTAGAACTTAAAGTATAATAAAAAAAAATTTTTTTAAGACATTGAGAATGTTTTGAATGTATTTTAATGTTTGGTAGAATTCAGCTGTGAAGCTATCAGGTCATGGGCATATTTTGATGGAAGATTTTATCACTGAATGGATATCCTTATTATTAGTTCTATTCAGATTTTCTATTTTTTTCATAATTCAGTCGTCATAGGTTATATGTTTACAGAAAGATATCCATTTGTTCCATTGGGTTGGTGCAAACATAAGTGCAGTTTTTACCATTAAAATCTTACTTTTAATGCAAAACTTTTAATGGCAAAAATCACAATTACATTTGCACCAACCTAATACATTATTCAATTTGTTCACGTGAGCCTCTTAGATACTTTTTATTTCTGTGGTACTAGTTTGTGATGTCTCCTTTTTTGTTTGATATTTGTTTTTCTCTTTTTTTCTTAGTCTAGCTAAAGGCTCTTAATTTTGCTTATTTTTTTAAAAAAAAATACCAACTTTGAGTTTCATTAATCTTTTCTATTGTTTTCTAGTCTTTATTTCATTTATTTTTGCTCTGATTTTATGATTTGCTTTCTTCTATTGACTTTGGGATTGTTTGTCCCTTCTCTAGTTTCTTGAGATATAAAATTAGGTTGTTTGAGATCTTCTTTTCTTAATGTAGTAATTTACCACTACCAAGTTTCCTCTTAGAACTTCTCTGGATGTATCCCATAGGTTTTGGCATACTGTGTTTCCATTTTCATCTGACTCAAGCTATGGTATGTTCCTTTGGATTGCTTATTTGACTCATTTGTTATTGAGGATTCTATTATTTAATTTCATATTTTTGTAAATTTTCCAATTTTTTTTTCTTGTTACTGATCTTTAGTTTTATACCATTGCGGTCAAAAAAGAAACTTATTATTTCCATCTTAATTTTGCTAAGACATTTTTTTGGCCTTATACATGATATATCCTAGACAATATTTAATGTGCATTTGAAAAGAATGTGCATTTTGCTGCTTTTGGATGGAGTGTTCTGTATATGGCTGTTAGGGCCATACGATTTCTATTTAAGTCCACTGATTTTCTAATGATTTACTGTCTAATGTGATATTTGTCTTTTACTATTATTGCATTGCTACTCATCCTTTTAGTACCCGGGATATCCAGGGTTGGGTACCGCTGCTCCACATGACATCTCTCTCTATGCTGTGTTGCCTGGGCTTGGGGGAAGGGTGATGTGGCTGTGAAACTGTCCTTTTTATTCACTTCAATGTGTCTTTTTAAATTTCTGTGATACGTACATCCAAGTGCTATGATCTCTCCTCTACATTCACTAGCTTATAAGGGTATTTTTGTGCATACTTATTCAAGTTGATGTTACTGAGAAGGGAAACACTGAAAAATTATATTCTAACTTCTTGCTGATGTCACTCCTCTGTATCTGCAGTTTCTATATTTTACATAGATTTCTGTAAAAATGTATTGGCTATGAAAGTATATGATTGTCAAAGGAATTTTGGGGCATCGTAATTGATAAGCCCTTAAATTTATTAAGATGTATAATGTATTTTCCTGTAAGTAAACCTATTAAAAATTATAAGTCAAATCACCTGGTTCTTATCCACTATAATTTTTATCATATTCATTAATATGTTATGTAATTGCCTCAATATTACTGTTTCACTCAGTGACATAAGCATATATTACTTATACAAATTAATGATTGTATATTTTTATGATAGACAATTTTCTAAAAATATTACCAATAGATTTCATGTTTGTAAAGTAATTTAAAATATAATAATATACTCTTGAAAGTGACATTATTAACATTAAATTATACATCTTATCAATTAATAATGATGATATTGCATATATGTAATATAGCATATATTAGGGATGGTGGATTCACTTTTTTAATCCACCATGTTTTTAAAAGTTAATTTTATTACAGTTGTATTTATTGTAAATTTTATAATTATTTTATGATATAGAATAAAAAATCTTCCAAAGTTCTATGATCCTTACATAAATTGAGATATTATGGAAATTCTAATTCTTTAGATTCAAATTCTGCCTTAACCATTATTGGAAAATGATCGCCCAAATCTCCAGTTGATTTAAACCTTGTAAAACATATTTTTGTTATTATGTTTCTCCAGTGTTGCTAGCTACATACATCTGTTGGACAAGAAAAAAAAATGTGTGGAGCTCGTTGCTTACACTGTCTACCTGCCTTCTCATGTTTCAGGATGCCTGGGTCCCTCGTTCACACTGAAAAGATGAGAAAATATAGACAGAAGAAAAAACATATGAACAAAAATCACCATATAAATGAGAAATTCATCTGTTAGATAATCAGACAAATCTTTGCAATATGTGAAGCTGCTGAAAAGAGGAAAAAATTCAGTAATTAGTGATTCACAGCAAATGATGAGAAAAACCATGTGAGCAAAAACAAATGTAATCCCTAAATCTCAAATAGAACATATTAATATCCTTCCTCATCCCCATACACACTACTATAACCCCTGCTACTTAAGATTGGCTTTAAGCAGAGATTAGAGAGAGCTGTGGATGTTACTTTGTCCCAAAATGACATATTTTGAACAAGGCTTCAAACCGAGATCCATTAGCTACATAAAGCAACATAGGCCCTGCATTGTGTATAAATTCATGCTATCTCAAAAGTTAATGAAATTCATTGGCCAGTAATTCAATCGCCAAGACTCTGGCTGTTGACCTTTTGATCGGATCATTACTATGGTTTCTCCCATGTGAAAAGGAAAGAGTTTAATTACGTTTCCCCTTGGAGCTTCTATCTTGGTTTCCTGCTGTCTTTTAAATAGAACTGTTTATAAATTTTCCCACATAAAATGACAATACATTCTCTCCTCCAATATTTCTCAAATCTCTTCTGATGTGAATTTTTCTATACCATTCTACAGACACTGTCAACACCAACAATGACTATGTTTTTGCTAAACTCAAACATTTCACTATGCTAGTTCTTATTTTTCTGTCTGCAACATTTTAAAGTGTCAGTTACTTCCTTTCCTTTTAATCTCAATGCTTGAGATAAATTAAATTATATTTGAGGATTTTAGCACGTTTAACAGGATCCATCTGGCTGCCGTGTGGAGAATACTAAAGTGGAGACTCTCCTTGTTTCCTAGTTTTTCTCCCATATTAGCAGATTATATTTTACAGTCTTGTTGCTGTAGCCACTTCCTCTCCTAAATACTTCACCAAGATGCAGCTTAGGTCTTAGACTTTGGATCTCATCACTATCTACATTCATTTACATGGTGACCTTATTTAGTGCCTTGGCTTTAATATCTATCTATATGCTGCTGTTTCCCAAATACTTCCCAAATTTAATACTTCCCACCTCATTACAGAGATGAGTATCAAAGTTTTTCTTAAACCTCCTCACTTCTCTAATAAGCCTCAAAACACCAGGGTGTTTGAAAAAATTATCAAAATGAATGTTTCTCTCTCTTACCTGTAATACTAAGCTAGAATTCAGCATCAGTTGAAGTAATACTATTCAAAACTTAAATAAGAATAAAGCAGTGATTTAGGAATACTAGGACTCCATGAATTGAAACAGAGATACACAAGAGTGTTCAAAAACCAAAAAAACAGTACTTAGTAATAATTTCTTGTCAGTGTTCTTTTTGTTTTCCTGCTGTATAATGATGACCCTTTAGCCACAATAATCATTCTGCCACATCATCTCTTGAGTGCATTAGGCTGCAATGAGTTAACTTAATCTCTGTTATCCCTCATTTATCCAGATCTATAACTAAAATCTATTCTGGATATTTGTCGACTACAATTGAATGTGTCAATTACAAATTTAAATTTAACATAAAAAGAACTATACAGAAAAATAAAGAAAACATTTCATACTTAATATAGGCAATATGTGAAGAATACAACTACAAATTGATTTTTACTGTTAGAGACCTAATAGGACAAATCAAGGCTTATGAGTCAATATAGGTGCACTTATCTAAAACTCTGGAAATAATACTGTAGCATTAAAATACATGGTTTGTATATTTAATTGGTAAGTTGTCTGAACATGGCCTCAGTCATTGCCCTTGTCAAATAAAGTTTACAGTAATTTACTGGAAATTTATAGGAGAAAAATGTTAATGCCTTAGAGAGGTAAAACTACTGGAATGAATTTATTATTTGAAAATTGCTAAAGTATTGTTTAATGTTATCTGTTTATAAAGATCTATAGGGGGTTTATGAGGACTCTGAAGTTTTTTTGGCCATATTTCTGTAAGTTTAAAACTACTCTAAAACAATAAACTGTATTTGCTTTCAAAATATGAGATATCATGCATACCTATCAGAATGGCTAAAATATAAACTAATGATAGAAAGTGCTGGCAAGCTTGCTGCCACTAGGGCAGTGTATGAGTGATTCTGTTTCTTCACAAACTTAACAGCTTTTGAGCTTCTCTCTAAAACAGTTTGGGAATTTATTTTAAAAAACACTGAATATGCATCTACTATGAATTCCAGTCATTGCACTTCTAGACATATGTTCTACAGAAATCAAGATAGGGTCACACAAAATTTTGTATATGAATGTTTATAACAATGTCATTATAATAGTCTGAAACTGGAAACACTCCACATATCCTTGAATAGATGAATAAATGGTGGTACATTCATACATGCAATACTACTCAACAACCAAAGAATGCACTATTAATGCACATAACAACCTAAATAAATGTATAGATAATTGTCCTAATAGAAAAAAGCCATTTTCAAAGGTTTTATATATGGGTTTCAGGAGGCAAATCAAAGAGATATTCATAGGATGCTTTGAAGGGCTGACCTACCCTCTCTCATTGGTACCAGTGTCAAAGTTTGGCAAAGTGAGACAAAGAAATTTTCTAAATTTCTCCAAGATAGAGGTAACATGATGGTGTAGGCAGGAGGCAGATGAATTAATCTATTCTTCAACGTCTCCTCTCTCCCTTCATTCAAGCCCCACCGGATTCCTTTCTGTTCCCCAAACATGCCAAGGAAGGTCCCACTTCAGCATCTTTCATTTCCTGTTTGTTTGTTTGTTTGCCAATTCCTTTCTCCTGCCTCACATTCGCCATGGCTTACTTCCTCACTTATTTATATCTTATCTCAATTGCTACGTTTTCAGTGGGATTGTCCCTGAATATCATATTAAAATTGTATCACCTTTGCACAACACGTGGTACCCTTGTCCTTGATTTATTAATATTTCCAAAGTCATATAACTTTCTAGCATATTCTGTATTTTATTCTTTAATTTATCTATTATCTGAGTTCCTCAACTAGAATATAAGTCCTTTAAGAACAAGAATTTTTGTTTAATTTTATTCACTATTGAATGTGTCTAGAATAGAACCTAGCATATAATAGCAATTTTAAAATATTTGCTTAATAAAAGTTACAAATAAATATGGAATATATTTTATTTACAAAGCATTGAGAACTATACAAGCACCGTCATCTTTTAATAGATCATGTTACTTTGGGACAAGCGTGGTACACACAGTTGAATTTAGCTCTCAGGTTTTAAAGGAGATAGCAGGATTTGAAATGGTATATGTCAGACAGAAACACTAGAGAAAATGTGAAATGACCATACTAAGCAGTTTTCAGATTTGCTCAATCTACTGGTGCAGTAAGCCCAAAATAAATAGAAAGCCTAAAAATTCCCTACTATTTTAAAATAACAAATAACAAAAATAACAATAACAAAGTGCTCAAGATAATATAAACAGAAATCTGACTTGAGCCACCATGGTAAATAATCCTGTCCCCATATTTAAGTTTACTGATTCAATCAAGTCTCAGAGAGAGCCCAGGTGAAGCTGAAAAACTGAGGAAGAATCCCGTAGTAATAATACAAAAATGTATTCTAATTTTCACTGTAAACCTTCACCCAAATGTCCTGAGCCTATTTATCTGGGAATTTCTTTATTAGACAAAGATGTACTTTTCAATGATTACTATAAATGGGATCACACAAAAGAGGCAATGAAGTCATTTATAAATTGTTTTCATTCTATAAGCCATATCCCTTATCACGATGCTAAATATATTATTCATCATATTATGTTTTATACCACAATCTTGTTGTACTAGTCTTCTATATTTCTTCAATTGTTTGAATATTTCATGTGATTTTTTTAACAAATTCATACACTTATGTATGTCAGACACTACAATGTTTGACCATTGAATCAAATTCTATAGGAGAAAAAAATGTGACATATGTTCATATATTGGTACTTCCATATATTCTGTGCTCATGCAACCAGAAAAAAATAGCCCCTTATTTATGAGCCAAAGATAATAGTTTTTGTTTCATTTTTGACCAAAATTAAATTGCTACTTTGTATTATTGATGTGATGTGTAGCAAAGTCTAACATTATTTCTATAAAATTTATTCTAATATTGAAGAAACAAGTTAAAGAATGCTTAAGTTATGTTTTGGGTGATAAGTAGACTTCTAAAATTCTAGAATAGAAGAGACATCTACAATTATTAATGATTCATATAGTCTAATAAGATATATGTTGTATGTTATTTCTCAATCTATAGCACTAGGTCTACCAGGTAAGGTCTTCTAAAGTATATGACTCCCATCACTTCCTTCAAAGAATTTTTTTTTTTTTTTGAAACAAAGTATCTCTCTGTAACCTAGGCCAGAGTACAGTGGAAGTGACCTGGGCTTACTGCAGCCTTCACCTCTTGGGTTCAAGTGATTCTCATGCCTCGGCCTCCCAAGTAGCTGGGACTACAGGCATGTGCCACCATGCCTGGCTGATATTTTTGTATTTTTAGTAGAGATGGGGTTTTGCCATGTTGGCCAGGCTGGTCTTGAACTCCTGACCTCAGGTGATCATCTCGCTTCAGCCTCCCAAAGTTCTGGAATTACAGGCATGAGCCATGGCACCCACCCTCAAATAATTTTTAAATAAGCCTTTATTTCAACGCTTTAAAAGATGATAGTAGAAATATACATATATTTTTATTAAAATATTTGCATATTTTATATGCAAAATTTATATTAAAATATCTCCATTTCCACACCAGTGACTAAGTGTCTTCCCAATACGGATTAAGTTGTGATACTTTGACCAGAGTTTCTTATTACGTTATCAGATACACTCCAAATTACATGAACAAATGTAAAGATAATACAGTGTTGCCAAGTTACAGATTGCCCCTCAAGTAACCTTAAGACTTTATGATACTTTATTTTGCAATTTTTTATCTAAACTATTGACCAAAATCTGTTGTTTGTCTTTTGGAAGCAAAAATTCATGGCAGGACTTTTGGTATCATACATAATAACCCTCCTGTGATATATAAATATATTTTATTACCCAGCATACTCAGCTGTATGGAATTTCAGGCTTTAATAATAAAGGGAGAAATAAATATAATTGACCCAACTTTTCCCCACAGAATTGAAAACACAGAGGATTATCTAGCTATTTAGATTCATCGGGATCGGAAGCAAACAGGCATGCATAACACTTACAATATTAATTTTGTGATTTCTCTATGGAAGTTACGGGAAAATTGTATTTCTTCTATATAAGTGGTATAAGAATGGAATCTAGAAAAAAACTCAGGAGGCAATATTAAAAGGCAAAGAATTGGCTTACATACCCTGGCAAGGCCTAGCCAACGGTATACACAATGTGGTACTGTTAGTAAATATGTCAATTGGCCCATAATACTTCATTTTATTTTTAATTGACACATAATAATTGTACATATGTATGGGGTACAGTGTAATGTTTTGATACATATACACAATGTGTAATAATAAAAGTAGGTGTGGCTTAAGGAACTCAAAACAAGGAATGAACATCACTTGGAGATCTTGAACTTTCAGTTTCAGCAGTAACTGAACTTTGGCTCTACTCTTTCTTGAAGGAGGGCGAAGTGTGGTTTTGATTTACATGAAATAATTAAACTATGGCAGGTAGGGAAAGTGAATATTGTGTTTAAACAAAAACAGAAAGGGGTGGTATGTGATAGATGGAGACAGATGGAGTGATAACGCCTATATGTTATTTTGTTTAGCCAACATGGTTTCTCTTAAATTTTAGGGACACCAATTCACTTTTTACCTTTGATTTTAAAAAACACTTTCCAAGCTGTTTTAATGAAACAGTTTGTCAAGTTTTCTCCCTCCTCTGCCTAGGGGTGGGAAAGAGAATCAAGCTATTTTATTATAATTTTTTAAGTGACTTAATGGAATGTTAAGATAACTGATACAAAGAAAGTTTCTCACTACAAGAAATTCTGATGCAATATCCTGAAATGTCTCTAAAGTTGTCAGAGTGGAGATGCTTTCTTTTTCATCTCAAAAGAAAGCAAGCTATTATTTTATTCTTTAACCACATAATAGCTTTTGTATACATATATGTGTATGTGTGTGTGTTTATTTGTGGATGGCATGTTTTAAAGAAAATGTTCTATAAAAATGTAACATATATAAAATGCATAATCCATAATTGTACAACTTGAACTTTCATGAAGTGAATAGACTCGTGTCACCAGCACCATGTATAGTAACAGAAATTAATTCAAACTTCAAAACTTTCCCTTGTACTCCCTCACAATCATTAACCCACTCATAGGTAACCCCTATGTTGATTTATCAGATCATGGGTACATTTTGCCTGCTTTTAAAATTTAAATGGCATCATCTTATGTGTGTGGCTTTTTTGGTTCGACATTTTGTTTATGTTATGACACTCAGTTTGTTTTATAGATCTGTTAAACTGTTATTGACTTTTTACCACTTGTTTTACCAATTGAGAAAGTATGTTAACTAATTTGGGGGTGGATTTGTCAATTTCTCCTATTCATACATTTGATTTTGTTTTATATACTTAAAACTATTCAGTACACACAGATTTTAAATGTAACTTTATGTCGATATTTTCATCTTTATCATTATCAATATCTCCTTTATACTTCACTTTTTCATTAGTCAACAATAAATGTAGATACACCAACATTCTTTTAATAGCATTTGCTTGTATCTGTTTTCATCCTTTTACCTGTAACTTTTTCTTATTCTTAAATTTAAGTTCTGTTTCTTATATACAGATATTTTAAAATTTGTAATTTATTCTAACAATCCAATTTTTAATTGGTACATAAAATTCACCTACTTATATTTAATTTACTGACAAATTTGTGTTTATATTACTGTAGTTTTTATTTTAACTTTTGTATTTTCTTTTTGTATCTTTATTCAGATTCAAAGAATATTTGTTATTTTTCTCATTAACTTGATATACATCGTCTTATTGTTTTTTCAGTGGTTATAATGGAGTTACAATATACATTAGTGACCTATTACAATATAAAATAACTTTTACAATTTCCAACTATTAAAACCATAGAACACAAAAATCTACTTGCCCTTCTTTCATTTTGCATTATTGTTTCTACACTTGTATTTCTGCATATAATTAAACCAATATAGACATGCACATGTATATTTTTTCTTTTTTTTTTTTGAGACGGAGTCTCCCTCTGTCACCCAGACTGGAGTGCAGTGGTGCGATCTCGGCTCACTGCAAACTCCACCTCCCAGGTTCACGCCATTCTTCTGCCTCAGCCTCCGCGTAGCTGGGACTGTAGGCGCCCGCCACCACACCCGGCTAATTTTTTTTTGTTTTGTTTTTTTGTTTTTTTAGTAGAGACGGGATTTCACCGTATTAGTCAGGATGGTCTCGATCTCCTGACCTCGTGATCCACCCGCCTTGGCCTCCCAAAGTGCTGGAATTACAGGCGTGAGTCGCTGCACCCGGCCGTATATTTTTTCTCATATATATATATATATATATATATATATATTTTACTTGATTTTCATTCTTTCCTGCATTTCCTTCAATCTTCCTGCTATCATCAACTACTTCCTCCTAAAAGCCTGCTTTCAGTATTCTGTTAATGTATTTCTACTTGTTACAGATTTTCTTAACTTTTTTGCATAAAGTTATCATTATTTCACCTTCCATTGAAAGAGATTTTAAAGGATATAGAAATTATTTTCTCTGAGGACTCTAAGGAAGTTATTTTCTTTGAGGACCCTAAAGAAGTTTCTTTGAGGACTCTAAAGTAAAGTTTTCTTTGAGGACTCTAAAGGATATAGAAATGATTTTATTTGAGGACTTTAAAGATTCCCTCCAAATCTCATGTTGAAATCTGCTTTTCAAGTTGGAGGTGGGTCCTGGTGGGAGGTGATTGAATCATGGAGGCAGATCTCTCATGAATGGTTTAGCACCATCTCCTCAGTGATGAGTGAGTTCTTGCTCAGTTAGTTCACATGAGATCTGGTTGTTTAAATGTCTGGACCTCTCCTTCCTTGCTCTCTTGTTCCCTTCCTCATCATCTGACACACCTGCTTCCCCTTCACCTTCTGCTATGATTGTAAGCTCCCTGAAGCCCTTACCAGAGCAGATGCAGTATCACCTTTCTTGTACACCCTGCAGAACCATGAGGTATTTAAACCTTTTTTCTTTATACATTCCCCATTCTCAGATATCCCTTTTTAGAGGCAAATGGCCTGATATGGTTTGGCTGTATGGCCCCACTCGAATCTCACCTGAATTGTAATGTCCATAATTTCCACGAGTCAAGGGCAGAACCAGGTGGAGGTACTTGGATAATGAGGGCGGTTTCCCCCATGCTGTTCTCCTGATAGTGAGTGAGTTCTCATGAGATCTGATGGTTTTATAATAATCTGGCATCAACTAATTTCTTGGTTTATTTATTCTAGCACATCATCAGTTTGCAAACTTTAAACCTAGTTTATTCAGCAAAACAATACTACAAAAACTCTATTCTTTTTTTTTTTAACAGAGGCTGTCTTATCTGAATATTAGTAAATTACATCCAGAAAAAACAATTTCAAAATATAATTTCACCTGTCTATCATTCTTTTCTCTCTAGAACATTGGCCCTTTGGTTGTGCAATGACTCTGCAAGTCCCAGAATATTTTATATTCAAAATATATATTTGAATAAATATTTTTGTGCAATATAATAAATACATTTTTGTGCAAATATAATCAAATTGGATTTGTTTTTATTTCCACATACATGAAGGTTTGGTTTTCTCTTTGAAAAATATTTGCTAATAAAACTGTCCAGTGTTTACTGGGTAAATATTTTCAAATGCATAAATAGTATTGAATACTCACACACAGTTATGTTTTTGAAGTATCACTATCTTTGTGAGGAAACTGAACCTTGGAGAGACTAAATAACTTCATTAGAGTTCAATTGCTTAAGAGTGGCAGAATCAGGATTTGAGCACAAGTTTTCCACGTCTGATTTCTTTGCTACTAAACTATGTTGAACAAGTTTGGAGAGAGTAGATATTGGTTAGATTTCCATATTTAACATCTATTATTAAATTACTGCTCATGGAGATTAGTTTTAAATTGCTAAGCATATGGTTTACTTTCTATAAAATGTGACATATTATTTACTTCACTGAAATATCACTCAACAGTATTGCATACATATTAGAAACACTATCTTATCTGTATCACATCATATTAAAATTTATAAATTCTAAAATCTGTATTCTAGATTCTCATTGAGCTAAAAATAAACTTTTATTAACAGACTCAAATATATTTGGCTTTTGCATACCATATAAAAATAAGATGCAAAATTATATAAACAAACTTATGCTTAATAATTAATGTTTCAGTATTTTATCTCACTTAGAATAATGTCAATGTTTGATGAATATTTATTATTTAATTTAGTATTTCTAAGTTTTCAAGTTACCAAACATATTTTGAAAATTATTTTAAAACAGACATATTATAACATATATTATTTTTAAATAAAATTTGTCATGATTCAATTTGATCAAATCAAATTTGATTTTTATAATATTAAATATCCTATAGATATAATATTAGATTATTCAATTAGTAAACCCACGTAGAAGAAAATATATGTCTTCTTATACTTAATGCTGATTACTCAGAAGACATAGCCTTTGTTATGTAAACAAATAAGACACAAGTCTTATTTGCCAAAGGCTTACTCAAATTATATAAATCTGAATCTTTAAAACATTTGGGTTAGTTTCTATATTTAGGAATATTTAATATATTAGCACTTATTTATTTCTATAGCAATTATAATAGAGCTCCTTTAAGCAATTCTATAAATGAATTTGGTAATACCATCTGGAGGTAGGAAAATGTCACATTCGTAACTTAATGCATACATACGTATATATGAGACAGATGCAAATAAAGATCTTTTATCTTTCGTTCTAAAACTTTAGCTATGAGTCAGGCATAAACACAGCAATACAAAAGTTACCTGTTTTTGTAGCTGTTGACTCTCAACTCTGTTTGATTTTAGATTTTATCAGAATTGTGTTTCTGACAATTGAGACAAATTGTGGTTACTGGCCCAATAAGAGGGCTAAAGTTTCCTAACAATATTTATGAAGAAGGCGTTTAATATTTTTTTGTGCACTGATACATAATTTTGTGAAGGCTGTAGACTAAATTTTGGGTGAGGGGCTGAAGAGACACCAAGAAGATATCTGGGTGTCTCCAAAACCCATGTGAATAGATGAAATACCCCATCTGTTTCTATCTTCTGGTACCAAGGGGTTACTATTGGGGTGCATGAACCCCTTCAGCGCTCTGAAGAGGTCAGGGGACCCAAAATTCAAGTGAATATTGGGATTTGAGGGGCTGAAGTAGGAAGAAAAAGATGATTCAGGGGTAGATAAAGGGATGGAGAAGGTAGATCAAAGGATTTTAGGGAGCTACAGGAAAGCTCGAAGGTGGGCAAGAGAGAAAGAAAACTGGAAGTGAGAGATGGGAGAAGTTTTAGATGAACCAGCTTCAGGAAATCTTGTTTTCCAAAAAGGCAATTGAAGTTTTAAATTATCCTTTCTAACATCATGCCAAAGGAAAAAAAAGGAAGTGGACAGAGCATGTAGCGTAGTCCCCTAGCACATAGTGAGCAGGAATATGAGGCAGAAGAGTATCAGTAGATTGCGAATCTATTTCCATTATAACAGGAGGCCTCTGGTTTTGTAAGACTCTAAAATGTGCAAGGATATTAACCCAAAAGGGGACCTTAACCCTTATATAATTGCTCAAAAGAATCAAAATCCACTCCTATGATGCCTCAAAAATGTCTATAGCATAGAATCAGGATTCAGACTCACTGAAGTATCTCCCAGAGTCTAGCCAAAGTCAACACAGGTGTGAGGGGTGTGTACTTTCCTTAGGGTGAAAGATCCAGAGTTTAATGGAGGTTCCAGTCCTGATCAGGGTCAGGGCACCAACAAACTGTTAAAAAATCACACCGGGCCAGGTGTAGAGGCTCATGCCTGTAATCCCAGCACTTTGGGAGGCCAATACTGGTGGATTGCTTGAGCCCAGGAGTTCGAGACCAGCCTGGGAAACATGATGCAACCCTCACTGGACAAAAAATACAATAATTAGACAGATTTGGTGGTGTAGGACTGTAGTTCCAGCTACTTGGGAGGCTGAAGTGGGAGTATCACTTGAGCCTGAAAGGCAGAGGGTGCAGTGAGCTTTGATCATGCCACTGTACCCCAGCCTGGGCGACAGAGTGAGACCTTATCTCCAAAAAATAAAATAAAATAAAATAAAAATAAAAGATAACTGTATCACAATGGACAAAGATGAACAAACAGAAATTGATTTTTTTTTTCCAATACTATTGTCAGCCACGTGGGAGAGAGAGCATACCAAGTCTGGATACTCAACTTCACTCTAACAAAAGGCAGGAGAGCTTTTAAAAACCAGGATGGGTGGCTCTTAGGCCATCTAATTGACTATACTCAAAGGAAAAGTAAGCTTGTTTCTATCTTCCTGACAGGAGGTAGTTTCACAGATTGGAGAAACAAGGTTAGGATCCTACCCTCCCACAGAAACAGAGACAAGGGACTATCTTCCTTGATTGTATTTCAAAGGGATGGCCCCCAGGTCCTTGAGAAAGTCCTGGCAAGAGTCTTTTCAAACTTTTATATGTCAGAGGAGCAGAAAAATAATTTACAATTACACCCTAGTTTTCTAAAGTAAGTAAGAAAATGAAGGTCAGAGGTCTGAAGAAGACTGTGTAAATTTCAGTCAAACTGAGGGAAACTTTAAGGCTGTCTTGGTAATAGTCTTTGTTAACATTTATATCATTTCTCCAGTGGTGTAGTTTTTTGTTTTTGTTTTTGTTGTTGTTGTTGATGTTGTTGTCGTTGTTGTTGTTGTTTCCTTGCCTTTTATTCATTTCCCTGACTGTAACATTCCCAGTGTTTCCTTGAAGCCATATTTTTTGTTAACTTTGTGCTTTTTCCCCTTAAATGACACAGGAAAGCTGGAGAGGAAGAAAAGTGTAGAGGATTCTACTTCACAAACTTAAACAAAATCCATCTACTGGAGAGTGAGCATTTGTAATGGAAGACAGAGGCTTTACAATGGGTGCCACCGTTCTCTAAGCCCTGCCAGAGTCTTGAGGGCATCTTTCTTATATCCTCACTGAGAACCTGGCAGGGTTTCTGGAGGTAAATCCCACAAAAGTGTGGGGCTTCTTTAAGGTTGTGGCTCTGTAGACTTCAGAGTCTCCACATTGAGCCTCTAGCAATTATCAATATTGCCATTTAAGTCCATATCTAAGATGTTACTTATGACACAGTTTATAAGATACAGAAAGAAATAATTCATTCAATTAACAAACAATAAGACAAAACAAACTAAAAAAAAAGCTGGAATGAATTATTGTTGGAATTAAAATGAAAATCAAATATTTTATGATGATCTTTTAAGGCCATGTATGCTTTAACCATATTCCATTTCACCCCTCTCCTAATGAGCCTGCTACAACCATAAAAGTCACAAAGTTTTTGGATATGTTATTTCCTCTGGCTGAAATTCTCTCATTTCTCATAGGCCTCTCTTGTTTTGTTCTTTCAATCTCACCTTATACAGTTCTGGTTAGAGACATTTTTTTTCTTAATCATCTTATGTCAAATAAACTCCTACATAAATTGTTACATATGCTGAGCCATAATCAACTTTTTTTTTTTTTTTTTGGAGGCAGGGAGATGGAGTCTCGCTCTGTCACCCAGGATGGTGTGCAGTGGCATAATCTTGGCTCACCGTAACCTCTGCCTGCTGGGTTCAAGCAATTCTCCTGCCTCAGCCTCCTGAGTAGCTGGGATTACAGGTGGCCACCACCACACCCAGCTAATTTTTGTATTTTTAGTAGAGACAGGGTTTCACCATGTAGGCCAGTCTGGTCTCTGGTCTCAAACTCCTGACCTCAGGTGATCCGCCCTTGACCTCCCAAAGTGCTGGGATTACAGGTGAGAGCCACTGCACCACCCTCAACTTTCTTAATATTACCTACACCTGCCTGATAGCTTGGTTTTGCCTGATGCTCCATTAGAATCCATGAAGGCAGTGACCATATTTTTTAAATTCACCACCATACTCTAGTGACCAGCACCTTGTTTGACCTTCTTTGACATATAGTGGGTTATTAATTAATCTTTCTTAACCATGACTCACACAGATTATTCTTAATGCCAGTGATTAAAATATTCAAACAGAAAAAAACTTGAAATAATATTGATTCCCATAAACTCTGAATCCTATGATTCTATGAGTGCTAATTCCTACTGTGTGTTAGTGGATAAGCTACTTTTTCTCTTTAGCATAAGCTTTCTCATTTGTAAAATAAAGCTAATAAGTCTTTTATGGGATTTCAGTGAATAAAATAATTGAATAAATTTAAAACCTTACAACAGTCCTCAGAACATCAATGCTTAATAAAAGATAGTGATTAATGTTATAGTAGGTAGCTAGTCATGTATGAGCAGGGTAGGAGAGGGCTCTCCCTTCACCACCACCCCTCACACACCAGGAGTGTTGGGCGACCATCAGGTGATGGTCAGGCAGTTGTTAACTGTTTCTCTAAAGTAATAATTGGTCACAGCCAGCACTAGGGAAAGGCAGTCTACTAATAGATATAGATAGAAAACACCTGAAACTGATCAGAAGCTTCCCAATAAGGTCTCAGGGGTGGGGAGAAGCAGTGCAAGATCCTGGAAGTTAGTCAATGTATAAAACCCCAAGTCAAGAGGTCAAGTGGTACACTTGGTTTCAAGTCATCCGCCTGGCCCTCTTCCAAGTGTACTTTCCTTCCTTTCTTTCTTTTCCTTCCTTCCTTTCTTTATTTTCCTTCCTTCCTTTCTTTATTTTCCTTCCTGTTCTAAACCTTTTTAATAAACTTCCACTCCTGCTCTGAAACTTGCCTCAGTCTATTTTTCTGCCTTATGCCCGTCAGTCAAATTCTTTCTTCTTTTTTTTTTATTTTTTATATTTTTATTATACTTTAAGTTTTAGGGTACATGTGCACAACGTGCAGGTTTGTTACATATGTATACATGTGCCATGTTGGTGTGCTGCACCCATTAACTCGTCATTTAGCATTAGCTATATCTCCTAATGCTATCCCTCCCCGCTCCCCACACCCTGGAAACCATCATTTTCAGCCAACTATCGCAAGGACAAAAAATCAAATGCTTTCTTCTAAGGAGGCAAGAATTAAGGTTCCTGCAGACCCATGCGGATTCACCACCATGTGACTCCGATACTTGCCACCAGTAATGATTATTAATTTTCTATAAAAATTAAACAGTAATGATCACAAAAGAAAACACTATACTTAAAATAGCCTCTGCTGTTTTATAACATTTCTTTCAAGTGTTTCAAAGCATCATGAAAACATAATTAGATGCATTTCTATAAGCATCTCACAATTTCTATAGCATAGTTAATTGTCTATGGCTTTTTTAAACACAGTTGAAGTCAAAGACATAATAAGGGTAATTATCTTTCACAAGGTCAAAAAATATAGCTTTCAGAATATGGTTTAGGAAGAACTGAGCTGCTTAAGAAAACTCATGTTTACACTGCACTTAGTGTTCATTATATTTCCATTCAGTGTTAACACTGTATAGATAAACAGTTTGCAGATAAACTCATAATATTGCAAAGGACCAACTCATAATATTGCAAAGGACCTTAGAAAATGTGTTTCGTGTTACAAAAAGAGAAGTAGAAAAAAAATGTCAGAAACCATTTGACTACCACAAATTGCCATTCATAGAACTGTTCTCCTTTGCTCACTTTATTCTATAATAGTAGGTCCAAATTCCCAACATCATTCTGTGAGGTGTTAGCAATTTGCATACATCATTTCTTGTCATCAAGTCCAGTGTTTTTTCCACAGCACTCTATAGATTCAAGTTTATTTCAATCATCACAGCATTCTTTGTTAAGTATCAAATACATCCCCCACATGGGGCAAGTGAGGTGAATGTATTTCACTGTCTTTTCTGTTCAGACCCATTTTAGGGCACTGTGATATATCCTAATTAACCCACTATAAGAACATCATTAACAAAGGAATGTGCCCAGAAGATAGCAAACAGAACATTAAAATACATGATATGGTACCATAATAGAAAAATTGGAAGGTGTTAAGAGCCACAAATGTGGTCAAAAGAAAGTTTACATCATATCTCATTAGCTATTACTGAATAACTGAAGCACTCTAATTAAATTAAAAAAATTAAACTTGGGATTTGTGCACACTGGTCTCTAACATTTTTTTCATTCTATACTTTAGCACAACTGAAATCATTTCTTTAAAATTTTATAGTTTTTATTTCTCTGAGTCAGTTGTTCTCAAAATTATCTGTGCATTGGAATCACCTGAGGATCATTAAAACGTTATGCCTAGATCTCATCCACAGAGCTTCTGATTTATGTTAGTTGATGTCTGCAGTGGGATTTTTTAAAACTTCTCCAGCTAATTCTCATGGACAGCCAAAGTTGAGACTCATAGATTATGAGTCAATGTTTTAATTCTACACTTTTCCACCTTCACTGATCTAATTACAACTGTTTATCTATATTTCAGTTGAATTGTCACTTTCTCAGACAAACTTAACATGATATCCCTAGATATCCTTAATTTATACCCCTATGCTATGCTGATATGTTTCTGGATTAAACCACTCACAAAATTTTACTGACAGATATATTTAATGTTTCTCTTTTCTGCCAGAAAGATTCTAAGAGCAGGGGGTTATTTGTCTGTGTTTTCATTTTGGTGTTTTTAGCTCTTTTTCATTTCAAGCATATAATAGGCCCTCAATAAATAAAAGCTCAGACCAAGAAATTAAGGTTTCAATAATAATAGGTTCAATATTAATGTAGAATACTGTAACTAAATTATCTATAATCTATTGAATACTTATGACATAGCAAGGGATTTACAAGCACTAGATGTAATTCTCAACAACCTTCCCAGATGTGATACAAATAACACAGTAAAAAGGTTAATAAAATTTCCCATGATCACAGAGTAAGAAGTAGCAGAGCCCAGTCTAACTCTAAATTTGGATTGACATTAACACTTATGTATTTTCTACTATACGTTATATACTATATCACAATAACATAAGAAAAACTACTCTAAAGAAAAGGTCCCCAACTCCTGGGCCATGGACTGATACTGGTCCACGGCCTGTTAGAAACCAGGTTGCTCAGAAGGAGGTGAGTGGCAGGCGAGCAAGCACAACTGCCTGAGCTTCGCCTCCTGTCAGATTAGCAGCTGCATTAGCCTCTCATAGGAGCACAAACCCTATTATGAACTGTACATGTGAGGGCTCTAGGTTGTGCACTCCTTATGAGAATCTAATGCCTGATAATCTGAGGTGGAACAGTTTCATCCCAAAACCAAACCCTGCCCCAACATCCATCGAAAAATGTGCTTAATGGAAAGAACTTCAACACAAATAGTGTATGCCATCATGTTAACATGAAATTCAATTTTTTAAAAGATTCATCTATACCTTCTGATCCATCTATGTAGTGTGCAATGGTATGTAATTTACAGGGACAGCTATGGTATCTTCACTATAAAGCATTTTAGTGAAAATTTTAATATAAAATTTAGAGATAATAAATAACTTTTTTGTACAACTTGTATAAACTTCTGTTTAGAACATAGTGGACTATCTCTTGATTTTCGTTTGAAGTATCGATATCAATGGTTCTTCAAGAAAAGACAAGGGATCTTCTGCTAGGCATGGATATCCAGAATACACATAAATTATTATAGTATGTCTATATTAAAGGCTTTTCTCAGCCAAGAATTTTATATTTATTTTTTTCATTTTTCCACAAACATAGACTTTTAAACTCATGGTAGTTTAGAATATTTAATGCTTAAAACTATTTTTTCCTCACAAACATACAAGGTGAATGATACATATATTTACAATAACCTCCTGCAGAGATGTTTTCATATCCTAGAGGATTATTTTAAACATTGGAAACAAAATTCTTGCATTTCTAGGATAT
Source organism: Homo sapiens (assembly GCF_000001405.40). Taxonomy (NCBI): domain Eukaryota; kingdom Metazoa; phylum Chordata; class Mammalia; order Primates; family Hominidae; genus Homo; species Homo sapiens. The sequence goes on along the minus strand of NC_000004.12, from coordinate 115,994,339 downwards.
AAAAATATATTACAACCTAAGAAAAATGAATGTTTATCAGCATTTTTTCCCCTGCAGAGAATATTTGGCTGGCAAAATGACCTTTATATATGGATGTATTATTCTGTCTTTAAAAAAAAAAACACTCAAGTTAGACAGTCTTTATTACATTGATTGTTATACATTTTTTCAGGTCATAGCTGAGTGTGGTTATTGCATTATTATTTTTCATTTGGAATTTAAAGATTTTCTGCCAGTAACTTTACAGGCCAATTTAAAAAAGAAAAAGTGGTTGTAATCACTTGATTTATATATTTTCTAAAAGATAGTGCCACAATGGGAACTTTTTCATCAGACTGTCAGGTCTATAGAGATTTTATGTTGTTGCCATTTTTGACTTTAAAGTATGTTAGAGATTCTTGATCAGGAATTTTTTATTTATTTTAGACGTTATTATTTATATGGGTAAAAATCTATCCATAATAAACTGGTTGTTCAATATTCACACTGAGATTTTAGAGTAGATTTCACCACATTCAGAATTGCTTTTATGAGAAATTGTCAAAGTTTTGTTGCCATATTTCCGTTTAAGCTCAGGGGAGTTTGACAGAAAACAAGAACCATCATACTTTTAAAGAACCACATGTAACAGCAATGTGCTGTTGACTTCAAGCAATCCGTGAGCACTATTTCTCTTTATTATTAAAACAAATTTATTTGAAGGTACATATTGTATATAAGACAAAATTATTTGGGATATAAAAATTTAAACTCGTTAGTCTAACTGCCAATTCTTCCATTATAATTTTTCTAGAAATGGGCTGTTAAAGATGTTATTCATTGGGAAAAACTTCATCTAAAATTAAATATTTTTACTTGGGCACTGAATTTTATATTAGCATATATGGTTCACTCCGTACAATAACCAATTCAATACCTGCTCTGTTTCAACTCAATCAGGAATTTTTGAATAAGTCCAACTAATTGAATATATAACTAGGAATACATAAATTATGATTTCAGCTCTGCTTCTAAATGCCTAAAGTACTTTGTGAAGAGATTTTAGCATTTCTAACTATAAATTCCTGTTATTTAGATAATTAAGCCTGAAAGTCTTAGAAACAAATATGTACATTCATGAAAATGAACATACTACATCCCATAAAATTAGTCTTTGTTCATAGATTCTTGAGTTTACTCCTCTGAAAAAGTTGGTAAGCCAATTTAATACAGTATTTAATCTACTAGATCCCTTCCTGAATACTTTCATCTCAATTCAATGCCAATCCTATTCTATTCCAAATTCCTGGGCTTCAAACCTCTCTCTTCTTATAACTAAGACTCTGGTGTCAGTGATTGTTATTGTCTTAAGAAGTTGTGTTTCAGCTCTCTATAGTAGACAATAAAGCATTATTTATTAAACTTGTGTTTAGGAAAATGTGGTTTTTTTTAGTGCTTCAAATAAATCTTCACAAAAATTGCAAATAAGTATTATTATTCCCAACTTACATGTATCATAACCAATTTCAGATATTCAATTTTGGAGTTCTACTATAGTCAATACAAATTTTTGAGTTTATCAATCTTTTTCTGTTACAGATTTCTACTACCCACTTCTTCTAGGTTTATTTTCTTACAATTTATTGACATCTTCTAGTGTGCATTCATAGTTTAGGCTCTTTGCACTAGCTGCTCAAATACACTGGTTTATTTATTTAATTTACCCCAATGTTTTCTACTACAATCTTTATTAATGCTCTAAATGCAATGCTATGGGTGATATCCAGAAACTAAGTAATGGTGTAGATATCCTATTGTGCTTTCTTAAAGTAGTCCACAAGGCACTACCTCTTCTGTTATGAGTGCCACTTTGAAGTTTCAAACTCGGCTGGGCGCGGTGGCTCACGCTTGTAATCCCAGCACTTTGGGAGGCCGAGGCGGGCAGATCACAAGGTCAGGAGATGGAGACCACAGTGAAATCCCGTCTCTACTAAAAATATAAAAAATTAGCCAGGCGTGGTGGCGGTCGCCTGTAGTCCCAGCTACTCGGAGAGGCTGAGGCAGGAGAATGGCGTGAACCCAGGAGGCGGAGCTTGCAGTGAGCTGAGATCGCGCCACTGCACTCCAGCCTGGGCGACAGAGCGAGACCCCGTCTCAGAAAAAAAAAAAAAAGTTTCAAACTCATTGCTGCAGTGTTCAATAGAACAAAAATTCACATATGACAGACTTGAAAACATTGTAAGCATTTAAAATGGGCATTACTCTTATTTCTGCATCAGTCCATTGATTTCAAAGTTGTGAAAGGAGGAGTCATTCACAGTAAATTTGATCTGGTAATTCAGACCCACCTTCACCACTCATCTTCAAAGCTTGTTGTTATTAGGATAGGAAAGAAAATGGTCTACAGGTCTCTCATAGATATCTTTTTAAGGACACTCAAACACACAGTTACTATTATTTAACAGAAATTTGAATATTCTTCACATATAGCCAACAATCTCCCTAATGGAAAACTTATGCTTTCCAGATTCAATAAAAGGCGTGGAAGTAATAAGCCACATTCATTCTGCCACCATTTACTTTCATATATTAAGATGCTCAGAATCAGATGCTTAGTCCCTGTGAGTAAATAGGAAAAACAACACACCACAACAGAAAAACACTTCTGTTCTGATTGGAAAATATAATATTTTGCAGTTTATCCCACGAAGAAATGGAATCTATTTTCCACTCTTGAATCTGGACTTGGGTCTTATTATTTCATCTAATTGTCATTAGCAATTATGATACTAGCAGAGAACTGAAAAGTGCTTGTGCTCTGGGCTTGCCCCTTTATTTCTACCCTACGCTTTTCCACTATGTGAATAATCCAAGGTTTGCCCATTTGGGGAGGAAAGACCATGTATAGACAGGCCTCAGCAATCCCATAAGTCAGTGATGAGACCCCAGGTATAAGGGTGAGGATATCTCTGACCATCCCTTCACAGTCAAGCAAGCTATTAGCTTACCACAGAGATCAGCCCACCTGGACCAGTCTAAAATAACACTGGCTGATCCACAGGATTTCAAGCAAATAAATTCGATTTTGCTCTGAGACATGAAGCTTTGAGATGTTTTGTTATGCAACAAAAGCTAAATGATATGTATTTTATCCTGTAAGTTTAGATGTAGCTGGAATATACTATGGAAAATATACCAGTTCTTCAAAGAAAGGCATTAAAATTATAGAGGAAGGGTAACAAACAGAATGGTGGGCAAAAACACCACCAGCCACCACATCTTATAATTCACCAAAACCAAACAAATTTGGTGCATGTTTTTCTAATATTGAGTTCTAACACTTTTTTTACTGTAATTTTTTTAACGTAAGTATTATATAGGTTACACCATACGTAAATGCCCACAGTCAACCATTTTTAATCCAGAAAAAAACTTCATTTTACTTGAACCAAACTAACCTTTGAGCAGTGCTAAAACTACGACAAACAGGAGCATAATATTTACTACTCAGAGATAAATAATATTTTGGTGAGGTGGATATTTATTGATGTTTTTACTTTATCTGATGATTTGTTGGATAAATTTTACAAAGAAATCCTGAGATCAATTGGAATGAAGGTGTTTGAAGACTCTTAATACACATTATAAAAGTAGTTTCTCAGAAAGTTTACATTCATACCTTACGTATATACCATAAATTCATCAGTTTTGATTTTTCATTTTAGAGTTCAAGCATGCTAAATATGGCTACTTATGCATTTTAATGTGTATATACATTATCAAGCCTTATTGTTTGCTTATTGGCCGCATTTTTAGAGTTTGCTTATGAATTTGTATGTTTTTTCACATTAAAATGAAGCTAAGACATTTTAAATATTTTCAGGCTTTGTCATTGAATTTTGTTAAGGTGATTTTAATACACATTTTTAATTATATCTTTTTAAAAGTAATCATATTTTAGAGAGTTTGGAAATTTCTGCAATGTTCATAATTATCCTTTACCATGGGGGAAAAAACTGGCAGTATCACACTGGGAAAATATTATCATAAAAGACGTCGCTTAAAATTCATAAAAGGTGTTTAACATCATTGACCATTAGGGAAATACAAATCAAAACTACAATGAGATACGATTTCAAATCCATGAATGACTATAATGACTTTTTAAAAAGAAAATAAAAAGTGTTTGGAAGGATATGTAGAAATTGGAATCCTTTGCACGTCGCTGATAGGAATGTATAGTGTTGCAGCCATGGTGGGAATTTTGGCAGTTCTTCTGTCAAATTTAAACGTAGAATAATCATATTACACAGCAATTCCACTTCAAGATATTTACTTCCCCAAGACATTTTGGAAAGACTACTGACAGTAGCCAAAAGTGAAAACATGCCAAATGTTCATCAACAGATTAATGAATAAACAAAATATGGTGCGTGTGTGTGTGTGTATGTGTGTGTATAAACACATATACATATTTAGGATTCTATTTGTGTGTAACATTCAGAACAGGTAAATCCATACGGACAAAAAGCAAAATGATGGTTTTCAGAGACTGAGGGGAGGGAACGATGGGAAGTGATTAATGGGTATTGCATTTTCTTCTGAGACAAAAAAATGTTTTGAAAATAGATGGTGGTGGTTAAACAACATTATATATGTACCTAATGTGGCTGAATTATATTTTTTAAAGTGGTGAATTTTATGTCATGTGAATTTTACTTCATTACCAACACCTTGGTTAATAAATTTCTGACAGAAATAGGTGGAAGACAAAAATTTCCCAATAAAAATTGGCCTGAAATGTTTGATTCTTTAATATATGCTGGTATGCGTATAATTAGTATGCATTATACTAGAATATAATACAAGGTTATGTTTTCAATCAGTTGAGACTTCTAGTATCCTATAATGACTTAATTTTTTAATATATGAGTAATCAGAATTGTCAAACATAGTAATACTGTGAAGTTTTTTTTTTTTTTTAATTTCTCTAAGGCTTTAAGTGTACTCTGATTATGTTACCTGAAATACCTGCATTTTCTGCCAAATACATTTTAATTGGTTTTATATAATTTCAAATATTCAAGTACATGCTAAATATTTTTTAAATTGTCAACAAAATATGTATGCCCATAATATTATATTGATTTTTAAATATATGTAATATTTTAAATCTTTTTTTGCTAGATGTATTCTGATATTTTTAACTTTAAGATTTAGTTACTTCTGTATCCTATTTGAAACTTGCTTCAGGTGACTTTGTTGTTTCACCTCACTTATTTAAGAAAATGCTTGTGGCCAGGCGCGGTGGCTCACGCCAGTAATCCCAGCACTTTGTGAGGCAAGGCGGGCGGATCACGAAGTCAGGAGATCGAGACCATCATGGCTAACCCTGTAAAACCCCGTCTCTACTAAAAATACAAAAAAATAAAAAAATAAAAATTAGCCGAACTTGGTGGCGGATGCCTGTAGTTCCAGCTACTCGGGAGGCTGAGGCCGGAGAATGGCGTGAACCCAGGAGGCATAGCTTGCATTGAGCCAAGATCGCGCCACTGCACTCCAGCCTCGGCGGCAGAGTGAGACTCTAAAAAAAAAAAAAAGAAAGAAAATGCTTGTATAAAATGCAAGTTTTGAAATGAAATGTTAGTAGATTTGCCTTTGTTTATCTAATCAGGTATTTGGTGCCTTGACGGTTTTTGGCATTTTAAGTTTTTATTACATGATTTACTTTTTAAAAACTACAGAGTACCCAATAATAATATTTCAATGGTAGTTTCTTTTCTTTTCCCTGACGTATGTCATTATCCTCAAAATTACTATATTCAGGTTTAAAATGGCAACTATATGTGCCAGGCGCGGTGGCTCACGCCTGTAATCCCAGCACTTCGGGAGGCCAAGGCGGGCAGATCACAAGGTCAGGAGATCGAGACCACCCTGGCTAACATGGTGAAACCCCATCTCTACTAAAAATACAAAAAATTAGCCGGGCGTGGTGGCGGGCGCCTGTAATCCCAGCTACTCGGAGGCTGAGGCAAGAGAATGGCCTGAACCCGGGAGGTGGAGTTGGCAGTGAGCCGAGATCAGCCGCTGCACTCCAGCCTTGGTGACAGAGCGAGACTCCGTCTCAAAAAATAAATAAATAAATAAATAAATAAATAATAAAATGGCAACTACATGACAATGCCAGATAGATTCTCTTTCAGTATTCCACTACATTGTATCATGAAGCCATACACAGAGTTCAAATACATACTGATTCTGAAATTGAAGAGTCAGGTGAATTTTTGATCAGCTATGCAATGAAAGGCATGAGCAAAATTCTGTCTATTTTTAGGTTAGTATATCTGTAGGGGTATGTTAAGAGAGGGAAAGTAATTTCCTGTAAAGATTATCATACCATGAGCTTTTACTCTTACCCTAATGAATAAACAATAAAAGTAATAAACACCAAAAAAGGAAAGAATCAAACACAAATCATGAGCAACACTCAAAGAACAATAATGAAAATCAAGGAAGGCTGACTACTCTATCCTTTTTAATAACCCAACAAAATTGTTACTATCTTTTGAAAATTTCACAATTCTAAGTTGACACAAGCAAATGATAAGTATTACTCTCAAAGGGCCTTTCAACAAAATCTGTTACTTTCTCATATGAAATAAATTATAGTCAGAAATTACTCATTTTGTTTTTATTTTTTTATTTTATTTTATTTTTTGAGATGGAGTCTCGCTCTGTTGCCCAGGCTGGAGTGCAGTGGTGCCATGAGAGCTCTCTTTTCGAAAATTTTGAAAAGCTATAGCTGTACTCTTCTTTTAAGAGAGGTTCCAAACTTTGTAGCTATGACCTCACTACTGGTTCTGTTCCTGCAGGTGACTGGCTTCACTTTTTTTATACCCATGTTGACTGCCTATAGTGATAAACAATTTTTTTTCTATTTTGGGGCCCTGTGTATTAGGAATCTCTCATTTTCTGATCATGTATAGCAATATATTGTGCAATATGTAAAAACTAAAGACACCTTAAACTTTGTTTTCCTTACTTTGTGCTACCATATAATTATCTTAATAAGCTACTAGTTTGTGACCATGTTGCTTAAACTATGTTAGCCCCACTCCGCTATCGAAAATGGAGTGATGGAACAGTGAATTCTTAACTAAAAATTATTTTTCTCCCTGTGTTTCAACTCCACTCTTTATTTGGCATACTTTACTCATATAGCTGCTTTTTTCCTCTAAGTGAAAGAGCTAATGTTGGGACCATAATATACCCCCTCTTCAAAAACTCTTGAATTTTAGCAATTTCACATAGTTATTTTGATAGAAAACAAGTGGGATAAATTTGAACTTTTCTTTTGCATGCACATTGTGCCCCCCTAAACATTATGTGGACTAAATAACTATTTTCTGAGCTAGAGGAAACGAAGAGTTATAATATTACCATGGGGTTCTTTGGTGCCACTTTGCCAACTGGAATTCTCCATGGCTGGCAGTGCCTCTGCCCAGGCTTTGCTCAAGCCAGCTGGGCTCACTCCACCCACTCAGCCTGGCATGCTGTGCTCTGCTGCTCGCACTATCAGCCAGGATTCTGTGCCTGCAGTGGCTTTGTGCTCAACCTGCGGCTAGTCCAGGTGTGTTGCGACTGGCTTCTGCCTTGGGTCCCAGTGTGTGGATGAGGGGGATGCTGCGTCACCCAAAAACTTGGAGATGCCAGCAACTGCTGAGCTTCAAGGAGCGTTAACACCTTTTGTGTGAGAAGTACAGAGGTCTGAGTCCCCAGGAAGTATCACATCTCATTCAGTTCCACTGCCCACAGCTTGGCCAGCGAGAGCATGTGGCACCCAGCAGCTTTTTCTCCCCTGTTAAACAAGAGCCAGAGGGAAGGTAATAGTGTTACAGCTCAGCGGGTTCTGGGTTCTTGTCCCATGACCACGAAGACTGAGGTACATGAATACCAGAGAGTGACCAAGGCAGAGAAGATTTTTATCGAGTGACAGAAAAGCTTTCAACATAAGAAGGGACCCAGAGTGGGTATCCTTCTGTTTGAGAGGGGGCTCAAAAGCAGGTAGCCATCTGCGAGGCTGAGTCCTGGGTTTTTATGGGCTCATAATGGGTAAGTGTGTGCTGAATTGTCCATACGGGCCTGGAAAAAGCACCGTTCAATTGGCTAAAAGGCATCAAGGAAGTTCTCACTCCAGTCATGGACTCCATCTGGAACTGGCAGCTCAGCTTTCAGACTTTAAATTGTCTTTGGCTTGAAGGTCAGGTTTCACTGGAGACCCATCCCTGTCTGTCTCAGAATTCATCTGTCTCCTGCTGCTATCAATAGGCTACAAGATATTTTGATTCAGTGATGAGGACTCTGTGCCCAATTCTACCTAGAGGTCTAGTCCTGGATGGGGAGAAAAATCAACTTCCAGGTAAGGTCAGTAATCCAAACACTGAGAAGAAATATACTAACCTCCAAGGCGAGATTTTGAAAGTAAATATTTTCTGTGCACCTATTCATAATAGGATAGGCTCATAGAGTACAAGGGGTGGCATCATGGGTCTAAGCAGAGAGAGTCATAGTGCTACTTTTTATCCCCATTTTCCTATAACTTGAGAGAGTCTTAAGGGAAGATCCAAATTTTCACATATGCCAGAGAGGAATAAAAAATGATTGAAAAAGCCAACAGATTTATGGAAACTTTGTTGTCTGAAAGAAGACAGTTTAGTTTGCCCAGACCAGTGACTGGACAAAAGAGTCACTGGAGTAGTACTCCAGGAAATCTAGGTGGATAAAATCAGAGTGAGAAAGATATGGCTTATATCTCAGTAGGTGCATGGTGATGAGTTGACAGAGGCTAGGTATCTACTCCTGATGACATGGTGATGCATAAACCTTACAAATAAAATGCTGCTAGAGGCTGAAGACCACTTACATTATTATTCAAACACAGGAATATTTAAGAGTAAGAAGGGGGAATAATAATAATTATTCCAGACAACAGGCTTAAAATAGAAACTGTTCTAGAACCACCACCAAACACATGCGTATGATCATTGATGACAGAGAGGAAACAACAGTTCTTCCTGAATGGACTAAATGTAAATCTTAAATGGCAAAAGCCAGATTTGATTAAGAACTTGTCTTCTGACCTTTGGGGAAATTACTAGACATGGTGTTTAAATTTATATATAGAAAAATGAAGATATATTATTACTATTCAGAAATTGTTATTTGAAAAAATATGCAATAAAAATTAAGCATGAGAAAATTCTAATATATATCTGATACCTACATATTTTTGATATGCACATATAGTTCTGATAGAAACACATATACATATAGAATTCTGATATACACATGCACATACACATTATACGTGTATAATTCTGAAATATATGTACACATAATTGAGATACACAAACCCATGCATAAATAATTCTGATGCACATACAGACCCAAATTTAATCTATCATCTAGATTAGTACTGCTGATATGACAAAACTCTGAAATAAATAATAGCCTCAAATTTGATTATAAATTGAATGAGAAGGGATTATTGTAGAATCTTTTTAAGAACAGATATTTTAATAAACAGGCTACTTAATGTAATTAAATTCCAATTAAAATGTAGGCAAGGATTATTGTCTCATGGTCCTTCAGAGTGTAAATTATATCTCAACAATGGAGCCTGTGTTAAACATGCAATATAAAGACTGAGAGCATAGCAGATGTAAAAAGATACAGTCACACACACGTCGTAATTTTAAAATGATCTTGCTAAACAAGATAAAAGTTTAAAAACAATTCAGAAAGTCTTTGCCTTAATTTTAGCTTTTAAAAAATGGTTTTGTATTAAAACTTAAAGAGATTTATTTTACTTAGGAAAAAAAAGTGCCCCTTTTTATTTTTTACTTGAAACAGAGTATCATCTATTTCATATATACATATTTATACCTGTAATCATATTCACCCTACATGAAAAAGATTTTTTCTTCTTTAATGGATGCAAGACTCTTAATAAACAAAATGTTTAGAAGCCATCCTCTATGGCCCTGGTCCCCAACCTTTTTGGCACCAGGGACCCGTTCTGTGGAAAACAATTTTTCCACAGGCAGGGTGTGGTGGGCAATGATATCAGGATGAAACTTTTCCACCTCAAATCATCAGGCATTAATTAGATTCTCATAAGGTGTGGGCAATCTACATCCTCACATGTGCAGTTTACAATAGAATTCAGGCCCCTATAAGAATCTAGTGCACCTGCTGATCTGATAGGATCAGAGCTCAGGCAGAGCTCAGGTAGAGCTCAGGCGGTAATGCTCACTTGCCTGCTGTTGATTTCCTGCTGTGTGGCCCACCTCCTAACAGGGCATGGACCGGTATCCATCTATGGCCTGGGGGTTGCAGACCCCTGCTCTACTTCCTATGGGTAAGAAAAGAACATACGTGTTTGCTTCCCAATACCTTTGCATTGATTAAGAAACTTAAAGGAATTTTCAGTGTGCTGTAGTGTTAGTACTACTTTTGGTAGTAGTAGAACCAATAATAAAAGAATAGGGAATATGATGCTAAGACTTGCAGTAACATTGTATCCTTGGTAAATTAAAGCCAAATCAATATAGCTCTGGAGTTTAGGTAGAAAAAGGAAGGAAAAGTCCTGGCAGAGATAAAGTCTGAGAATGACTTGAGTTCAGATTTACTATATATATATATATATATATATATATATATATATATATATATATATATATATCTATGGTCATAATCATTTTTATAGCTTGTCATTTCAAAATTTTATTGATCTTTTTCAATGAGCCAAATTTTTTTTAATTTCCTGTTTTATATATTTAGTTCTACTGTTAATTTTCTTTCATTTATTTTCTTCCATTTTTTAGATTTATTTTGGTTTTTTTTCTGCTTCTTAAATTAGAATCATGTTAGAATTGTAGATATTTGTAATTTTCTAATATAAATATTTCAAGTGTTAAATTTGTTTCTGAGCAGTGCTTTTCTGCATCCTGTTCATCATCTGTTTTCTTTTGTTTTTTATTTTTTTCTATTTTTGAGACAAAGTTTCGTTCTTGAATCCCAGGCTGGAGTGCAATGGCGTGATCTCAGCTCACTGCAAACTCCGCCTCCAGGGTTCAAGCAATTCTCCTGCCTCAGCCTCCCGAGTAGCTGGGATTACAGGCATATGCCGCCATGCGGGGCTAATTTTGTATTTTTAGTAGAGACGGGGTTTCTCCATGTTGGTCAGGCAGGTCTCAAACTCCCGACCTCAGGTGATCCACCCACCTTGGCCTCCCAAAGTGCTGGGATTATAGGCATGAGCCACTGCACCCAGCGTCTGTTTTATTTTCATAATCTTTTCAGTGCAAACTATTTCCTATTTTCTTGTAACTTTTTATTTTGACCTTGGGCTATTAACAAATGTGTTATACACTTTCCAAAAGTCTAGAATGTTCTATGTATCTTACTGATCTCTAACTTAATTTCATTCTCAGAGAACATATACTCCAGAACAAATAACATAGTCATTTAAAATCTTATGTATTTATTGAGAATCCTTTTATGACCTAGTGTATGGCCAATTTTTGTGTAAATGATGCATATTGTATATATTTGGTGTAGCTTTATAGCTGTCACTTGGCCCTACATGGTTTAAAATATTATTTAAATATTATTTTCACTGATTTTTATTGCTAGGTGTTATGTCAATTGCTGAAATGAAACATATTTATTTCTTATTCTTATAAGCTAAAGTTTTAAAATTTATCTTAAAGCCCTAATACTACACAGAAGCTTCTATTTATGTTTCTGATAAGTTGACCATCTCTTCATTATTCAACATTTATCTTTGTTAATATGTTTCTATATTTATTGTGTGTAGTCCTCCATTCATTTATCTTCAGCTTAAGTCTTTTATGGAAGCATATAGTGGTGTCTTTTCTCATCTTATAAATCTTGAAGCCTCTGTACTTTGTTTCACTTACTTTTAAGATAATTAATGATATGGTTCAATATATTTGTACTGTTTTCTGTTTATTGATTATTCCAATTTTTTCCTGTTTCTCCTTTTTTACTTTGTTCGTGTTTATTAGAATTTGGAAGGTAATTAATAGTTAAGCTTTTTAGCTAAATCTCTCCAAATTATATTATATGGTTTCTCTAAGAATATCACATTCTTTTACTTTTCACAGTCTACTAAGATTCAATAATGTTCCACTTTACATGAAATTTGAGGATCTTACAACTGTGTATGACCACACTCCTATCTTTAATGCCATATCTATCTATACGTACACACATATTACATCTATGTTATCAACCAACACACAATGTTACAATGTTGAGTTTAAAGTGAAATTTGTAAGAAGTTTGTTTTTCAAGTCTGAGGAGTTTTCAAGCTTTATCTATTAAAATAAAATTTTTCCGTTCGCTCTTCTCCTTCTGGGACTACCAATTATGCATGTTAGGTTTTTTAATAATGTCTGGCAATTTTTGAGTTTGTGTTAATTTTTTTAATTATCTTTTAGATTGAATAATATTTATCAGCCTTTAATAGCTCTACCTTTTATCTCTAATTTGCTGTTGAACCAATCTGATGAATTTCACATTTCAGATATAGTATTTTTCAGTTTAAAAGTTTACGTTTGGTTCTTTTATGAACACTTTTTTTTATGTTTAAATTTCTTCTCCACTCATTCTACATAAACATAGCTTCCCTTATTTTTGAACATGTGTTCAACTAGTTATAATGATATATTGCTTTTCAAAATTGTTATTGATTGCAACATTTGGTTCATCTTACTGTTAGCCTCCATTTGTTACTTGTTCTGTTGTATAGGCATTGTGTATACTCTCTGAAGGATGAATGAGTGAAAAGAATAAAAAATGAAAAACTCATGCTCAAAATGTAATTCTTTTTTTTTTTTTTTTTGAGATAGAGTTTTGCTCTTGTTGCCCAGGCTGGAATGCAATGGCGTGAACCCAGTATGTGTGCCATGTACAGGTATGTACATGTATGCCATTTGGTAGCTCAACAATTATAAAATAGCAGCAATGCTACGTAGTTCAATCTAATAGAAGTTCAGGAGAGAGATGGTGGCTTGTACTGTAATAATGTCAGTGGCTGTGGTGAGCCAGATGACCCGTTCCTGCCTTAACTCATGACATTCCACCACAAAAGAAGTGAAAATGGCCTGTTCCTGCCTTAACTGATGACATTGTCTTGTGAAATTCCTTCTCCTGGCTCATCCTGGCTCAAAAGCTCCCCTACTGAGCACATTGTGACCCCCACTCTGCCCACCAGAGAACAACCCCGTTTGACTGTAATTTTCCTTTATCTACCCAAATCCTATAAAACGGCCTCATCCCTATCTCCCTTCGCTGACTCTCTTTTTGGACTCAGCCTGCCTGCACCCAGGTGAAATAAACAGCCATGTTGCTCACACAAAGCCTGTTTGGTGGTCTCTTCACACGGACGCGAGTGAAATTTGGTGCCATGACTCGGATCAGGGGACCTCCCTTGGGAGATCAATCCCCTGTCCTCCTGTTCTTTGCTCTGTGAAAAAGATCCACCTACGTACGACCTCAGGTCCTCAGACCCACCAGCCCAAGGAACATCTCACCAATTTTAAATCAGGTAAGCGGCCTCTTCTTACTCTCTTCTCCAACCTCTCTCACTATCCCTCAACCACTTTCTCCTTTCCACCCTTCAATCTCTCCCTTCTCTTAATTTCAATTCCTTTCATATTCTGGTAGAGACAAAGGAGACACGTTTTATCCGTGGACCCAAAACTCCGGCGCTGGTCACGGACTAGGAAAGGCAGCCTTCCCTTGGTGTTTAATCATTGCAGGGATGCCTCTCTGATTATTCACCCAGGTTTCAAAGGTGTCAGACCACGCAGGGATGCCTGCCTTGGTCCTTCACCCTTAGCAGCAAGTCCCTCTTTTCTGGGGAAGGGGCAAGTACCCCAAACCCTTCTCTCCGTGTCTCTACACCTTCTCCGCCTTTCTGGGGGGCAAGAAACCCCCAACCCCTTCTCCTTCACCCTGAGCCGCAAGTCCTACATTTCTAGAGGAGGGGCAAGTACCCCAACCTCGTATCTCTGCGCCCCAATCCCTTATTTCCATGCCTCAACCCCTTTCCCACTTTTCTGGAAGGTAAAAACCCACGAACCCCTTCCGTCCATGTCTCTACTCTCTCTTTTCTCTAGGCTTGCTTCCTTCACTATGGGCGACCTTCCACCCTCCATTCCTCCTTCTTCTCCCTTAGCCTGTGTCCTCAAAAACTTAAAACCTCTTCAACTCTCACCTGACCTAAAATCTAAGCATCTTATTTTCTTCTGCAATGCCACTTGACCCCAATACAAACTCGACAGTAGTTCCAAATAGCCAGAAAATGGCACTTTCAATTTTCCCATCCTACAAGATCTAAATAATTCTTGTCATAAAATGGGCAAATGGTCTGAGGTGCCTGATGTCCAGGCATTCTTTTACACATCGGTCCCTCTCTAGTCTCTGTTCCCAATGCAACTCATCCCAAATCTTCCTTCTTTCCCTCCCACCTGTCCCCTCATCCCAACCCCAAGCGTCGCTGAGTCTTTCTAATCTTCCTTTTCTACAGACCCATCTGACCTCTCCCCTCCTCCCCAGGCTGCTCCTTGCCAGGCCGAGCTAGGTCCCAATTCTTCCTCAGCCTCCGCTCCTCCACCCTATAATCCTTTTATCACCTCCCCTCCTCACACCCGGTCCGGCTTACAGTTTCATTCCGTGACTAGCCCTCCCCCACCTGCCCAGCAATGTACTCTTAAAAAGGTGACTGGAGCTAAAGGCATAATCAAGATTAATGCTCCTTTTTCTTTGTCCCAAATCAGATAGTGTTTAGGCTCTTTTTCATCAAATATAGAAACCCAGCCCAGTTCATGACTCATTTGGCAGCAACCCTGAGACATTTTACAGCCCTAGACCCTAAAAGGTCAAAAGGCCGTCTTATTCTCAAAATACATTTTATTACCCAATCTGCTCCCGACATTAAATAAAACTCCAAAAATTAAATTCCGTCCCTCAAACCCCACAACAGGATTTAATTAACCTCACCTTCAAGGTGTACAATAATAGAAAAAAGTTGCAATTCCTTGCCTCCACTGTGAGACAAACCCCAGCCACATCTCCAGCACACAAGAACTTCCAGATGCCTGAATCGCAGCAGCCACGCATTCCTCCAGAACCTCCTCCCCCAGGAGCTTCCTATAATTGCCAGAAATCTGGCCACCAGGCCGAGGAATGCCTGCAGCCCAGGATTCCTCCTAAGCCGCGTCCTATCTGTGTGGGACCCCACTGGAAATCAGACTGTCCAACTCACCTGGCAGCCACTCCCAGAGCCCCTGGAACTCTGGCCCAAGGCTCTCTGACTCCTTCCCAGATCTTCTTGGCTTAGCGGCTGAAGACTGATGATGGCTGATCACCTCAGAAGCCCCCTAGACAATCAGGGACGCCGAGCTTCAGGTAACTCTCACAGTGGAAGGTAAGTCCATCCCTTTCTTAATCAATACGGAGGCTACCCACTCCACATTACCTTCTTTTCAAGGGCCTGTTTCCCTTGCCTCCATAACTGTTGTGGGTATTGACAGCCAGGCTTCTAAACCTCTTAAAACTCCCCAACTCTGGTGCCAACTTAGACAATACTCTTTTAAGCACTCCTTTTAGTTATCCCCACCTGCCCAGTTCCCTTATTAGGCCAAAACACTTTAACTAAATTATCTGCTTCCCTGACTATTCCTGGATTACAGCTACATCTCACTGTTGCCCTTCTTCCCAACCCAAAGCCTCCTTTGCGTCCTCCTCTTGTATTCCCCCACCTTAACCCACAAGTATAAGATGCCTCTACTCCCTCCTTGGCAACCGATCATGCACCCCTTACCATCTCATTAAAACCTAATCACCCTTACCCTGCTCAATGCCAATATCCCATCCCACAGCACGCTTTGATAGGATTAAAGCCTGTTATCAGTCGCCTGCTACAGCATGGCCTCTTAAAGCCTATAAACTCTCCTTACAATTCCCCCATTTTACCTGTCCTAAAACCAGGCAAGCCTTACAAGTTAGTTCAGGATCTATGCCTTATCAACCAAATTGTTTTGCCTATCCACCCCATGGTGCCAATCCCATATACTCTCCTATCCTCAATACCTCCCTCCACAATCCATTATTCTGTTTTGGATCTCAAACATGCTTTCTTTACTATTCCTTTGCACCCGTCATCCCAGCCTCTCTTCACTTTCACTTGGACTGACCCTGACACCCATTAGGCTCAGCAAATTACCTGGACTGTTCTGCCGCAAGGCTTCACAGACAGCTCCCATTATTTCAATCAAGCCCAAATTTCATCCTCATCTATTACCTATCTCGGCATAATTCTCATAAAAACACATGTGCTTTCCCTGCTGGTCGTGTCCGATTAATCTCCCAAACCTCAATCCCTTACAAAACAACAACTCCTTTCCTTCCTAGGCATGGTTAGTGCGGTCAGAATTCTTACACAAGAGCCAGGACCGCACCCTGCAGCCTCTCTGTGCAAATAACTTGACCTTACTGTTTTAGCATAGCCATCAAGTCTCCGTGCAGCGGCTGCTGCCGCCCTAATACTTTTAGAGGCCCTCAAAATCACAAACTATGCTCAACTTACTCTCTACATTTCTCATAACTTCCAAAATCTATTTTCTTCCTCATACCTGATGCATATACTTTCTGCTCCCCGGCTCCTTCAGCTGTACTCACTCTTTGTTAAGTCCCACAATTACCACTGTTCCTGGGCCGGACTTCAATCTGGCCTCCCACATTATTCCTGATACCACACCTGACCCCCATGACTGTATCTCTCTGATCCACCTGACATTCACCCATATTTCCTTCTTTCCTGTTCCTCACCCTGATCACGTTTGATTTATTGATGGCAGCTCCACCAGGCCTAATCGCCACACACCAGCAAGGGCAGGCTATGCTATAGTACAAGCCACTAGCCCGCCTCTTAGAACCTCTCATTTCCTTTCCATCGTGGAAATCTATCCTCAAGGAAATAACTTCTCAGTGTTCCATCTGCTATTCTACTACTCCTCAGGGATTATTCAGGCCCCCTCCCTTCCCTACACATCAAGCTCAAGGATTTGCCCCCACCTAGGACTGGCAAATTAGCTTTACTCAACATGCCCCAGGTCAGAGAACTAAAATACCTCTTAGTCTAGGTAGACACTTTCACTGGATAGGTAAAGGTCTTTCCTACAGGGTCTGTGAAGACCACCACAGTCATTTCTTCCCTTCTGCCAGACATAATTCCTCAGTTTAGCCTTCCCACCTCTATACAGTCTGATAACAGACCAGCCTTTATTAGTCAAATCAACCAAGCAGTTTTTCAGGCTCTTAGTATTCAGTGAAACCTTTATATCCCTTTCAGTCCTCTGTCTTCAGGAAAAGTAGAATGGACTAAAGGTCTTTTAAAAACACACCTCACCAAGCTCAGCCACCAACTTAAAAAGGACTGGACAATACTTTTACGACTTTCCCTTCTCAGAAGTCAGACCTGTCCTCAGAATGCTACAAGGTATAGCCCATTTGAGCTCCTGTATAGACGCTCCTTTTTATTAGGCCCCAGTCTCATTCCAGACACCAGACCAACTTAGACTGCGCCCCAAAAAAACTTGTCATCCCTACTATCTTCTGTCTAGTCATACTCCTATTCACCATTCTCAACTACTCATACATGCCCTGCTCTTGTTTACACTGCCGGTTTACACTGTTTCTCCAAGCCATCACAGCTGATATCTCCTGGTGCTATCCCCAAACTGCCACTCTTAACTCTTGAAGTAAATAAATAATCTTTGCTGGCAGGACTATGCTGAATCTCCTTAGGCACTCTCTAATCAGATGTCCTGAGTCATCCCAATTCTTAGACCTTTTATACCTGTTTTTCTCCTTCTGTTATTCCATTTTTCAATTCATACAAAACTATATCCAGGCCATCACCAATAATTCTAAATGACAAATGTTTCTTCTAACAACCCCACAATATCACCCCTTACCACAGAATCTTCCTTCAGCTTAATCTCTCCCACTCTAGGTTCCCACGCTGCCCCTAATCCCACTTGAAGCAGCCCTGAGAAACATCGCCCATTATCTCTCCATTCCCCCCGCAAAAATTTTCACCGTCCCAACACTTTACCACTATTTCATTTTTTTTTCTTATTAATATAAGAAGACAGGAATGTCAGGCCTCTGAGCCCAAGCTAAGCCATCATATCCCCTGTGACCTGCATGTACACATCCAGATGGCCAGTTCCTGCCTTAACTCATGACATTCCACCACAAAAGAAGTGAAAATGGCCTGTTCCTGCCTTAACTGATGACATTGTCTTGTGAAATTCCTTCTCCTGGCTCATCCTGGCTCAAAAGCTCCCCCACTGAGTACCTTGTGACCCTCACTCCTGCCCGCCAGAGAACAACCCCCTTTGTAATTTTCCTTTATCTACCCAAATCCTATAAAACGGCCCCACCCCTATCTCCCTTCGCTGACTCTCTTTTTGGACTCAGCCTGCCTGCACCCAGGTGAAATAAACAGCCATGTTGCTCACACAAAGCCTGTTTGGTGGTCTCTTCACATGGACGCGAGTGAAAATACTTTTCAGGTTACTATTATTTGACATTTGTTTATGATTACAGATAACACATTTATCCGATTGAAACTGCCTTTACAAAAATTATAACTGAGGAAATTATGACAGTGAAAGAGATCAGACTTAACTGACTCCATCTTGCTTCTAACCTTTAAGCTGTCCTTGTTCATTCCTGGGCATCGGCCGAACTAACCTTGGGAAGGAATTCAGTCTATGGTTTGACTCTGAAACAAAATTGATAATAGCCCTTTCTTGAAAAGACCCCCTTCTTGCCTGGGGACCAGTCTGTCTTTGCAGGACTAACAAATTAGCTACAAGATTATGGGTTAGAGCCACTACCTGCCAAATTATCTTTAAAAACGCAGATCCCTGAATGCTCAGGGAGACTGATTTGAGTAATAATAAAACTCCGGTCTCCTGCACATCCAGCTCTGCGTGAATTACGCTTTCTCCATTGGAATTCCCCTGTCTTCAGAAATCGGCTCTGTCTAGACAACAGACAAGGTGAACCCGTTGGGTGGTTACACTATTTTCAGTAGAAATATTATAAGGTAAAAAATCAAATTTTATTCAGATTTCTATTAAATATAGTAAAAATATAGATGATCAAATTTGGAAATATTTGATGCTGCCAATTCTCATTTTAAAAATGATTTTCATTATTTTGTCTAATCTAATTCACCTAAAAACACAAATATACAAGATTTATCATAAATTAAGCCCTTATGAAATGGAGACAATGATCCTTTTGTTAACAACTCATACAAAGACTTGAATATTCATGTTATCCTCTTCTGAGTACATTTAGAACTTTTTTTTTTACCTTCATAACTTCAATATATGTCTTCCAGTGAAGGCTGTATATTTAATTTTAAATTCTAGCATAGTTTGACCTTCTATTTTGGCATTCAGTCATCTCTATTTTAAAAATCTGGCTTGATGATTGTTTTACTGAGGACATGCCTCATGGATTTTCAGATGACTTTTAATGTGCTGTTATTCTCCATTTAATCATTTCAAATCTATTAAAGATACCAGCATAGTTCCTTAGATTGTCATTAAAAGACTTTAAAAATGGCTCAGTACTGGAATTTCTTCATATTGCTCCATCTAGATAAACATTAAGCAACCATTACATTAAGCTTTGCCCATTAGGTGAATAGAGAATATGCTTCAAAGGCATAATTTATCTGCTCAGAGTTCAAGAAAATCCTTGCTTTAACTTTGATATTTGCTCTATCTACTTTGTACGGATTCCTGAATCATGTCTCTTCAGTAACATTGCTTACTAATAATAAAAATAAAGGAATATAGAAGAATTTTTACTTGGCAAATTTTCTTTTTAGTATTGCTTTGTTTTTATCAAAATAAAAGAGTATATTTCCTCTTTAAAAATTATTCTGAACTTTCAGTTTTTCTAAATTCCAGGCTAATTATAATCCCAGTTAATCTAAGGGCAAATCATTTTTTCAGGATAGTTCAGAAGAAACTTTGACCCACCTCTTCCTCATTTTATATTAATATATATGAGCTCACCAAGACTGCCTTAATGTTCCTGTCAGCTTTAGTTAACTTTAGAAAGATTTCTTCCTGACTATAGGGCTGACCTCCCTTTTCTCAGAGCATTTACTTTAGAAAACTTGTAATTTAGCCCTTTTTCTCCTTTGAAATGTAAATCTTCTCCCAGCTTTGCATGAGTTTTTAAAACCCAAAGAATGTTTCTCAAGGAATGTTTTCTCTGGGAGCTATCCTTTTGAAATGTAATCAAAGGAGGTACTGCCTACTCTTATCTTCTAGTCTCAGTGGGAAGGTAGGAGCACAACTTCAGTGAGTGACAATTAGCACTAACATTCTAATTATTGGCCTAATCACATCGATCTCTATAGTCCTACAGTGTTTTTCTACTAGCTCACCCCAGTGCCTAAGCATCTTCCTGCCTTTTATTTCAGTGGAGTTCAGCTCAGTCTCTCTGTCCTATTGCAATCATATTAAATAGATTTCCTTGCTTGTTTAACTGTGTCAGGTGCAATTTCTTAGATATGGCTATACAAGAGTTACATTCATTCCTAAAAAAAAGGAAGTGCACAAGCTAAAATTTAGGGCTCACTTAATATGGGGGCCTAATAATAAATATAACAGCAACACTAAAATGTATTGGGTGCTTACTATGTGAAATACATTATTTATTTAAATCAACTTATTGAATCATGAAAACCAACACACACACACACACGCACGCACGCACAAACACACGATTCTGTATATTTCCCAGTAATTACCTAGTGGAATAAGTACAGTGCTTTGCAATACAGATCAATACTTAGGTACTGGATATTAAAAGGCAAAAGTTGTCATAAATTCAAAAAGTATTGAATTTTTTACTTAGCGTAAAAACAAATATTAATAAACATACTTTTTCAAAAACTTGTATTTTCTCATAAATACCATCTGTAATCGGGGTTTCAACAATGCCAATGAGGTAATAAAATGGAGGGCACAGTCAGCCTTGTCACATGGCAGGCAACTAAATAAAAGGATGCTGTTACAGAGAGCCACTAGTTCTTTCTGCCAATGGGAGATAATGGAGCTCTCTCATTTAAATGAAGTCTTACTGGCTGGTGAAAGGGAACTCAACTCTTTATGCTCTGGTTATTTTCTGGGTCTACTGACTTTTTTATTGACTTATTTCCTTACCCTAGAATCTGCTCTGAGATGTGCACCCTAACTGCTAACTTCCAATACTCTATCTGTTCACCAAGCAAAGTAAAATATTTTTTTGTAAATTTCACAATATACCCTGAGTAAAAATATATTTTTTAATTGGCTTTTTCTTCCAGCAGAAAAAGCTCAAATTCCCAGTATTCCAGTAGAAAAGGTAAAAAAGCAATGCTTAGTTTTCTTTCATTCAAAAGTCAATGAAAAGAAAAAAATACAAGGTTTCCAAGTTAATTATATTTTAAAAGAGGTAAATATTAATATTCTGCTAAATATGCATAATGTGAGATAATTTGATGCTGAACAGATGAAGGTATACTATTTAATAATTAGTTCCGTTAGTTCCCTTGCTATTGTCTATTTTCCTATGTTGCTGTCTTCATTAAATAAGATATGTGCCTCATTTGTAAATACTTATGAAATTACATAAGCCAGAAAATGTTCAATATAGTCGACATTCAGGATTTTTTAAAGCAGGGATGCTTTTCTCCAATGTTCACAACACTGACTTATTCCCCTTCACGTAAACTCACAAAGTTTAAAACACACAATGACATACAAGTTTAGATACCTTGGAAGCTTTTTGAGGGCAGAGTTTGGTTCTATTTTTGTTTCAATCACATAGAGAGCACAAAAAATGAAAATTAAATCCGTGGTTTATAGATTTATATACATTAAGAATGTAAGGTTTTTAAAAAAAATAAGTTGTATATTTTTAAGTATTTTTGCTTTTATTCTTCTCTCAAATTTATTTATACCTAACCTCCTATGAAAATTTAACCATTTTCTAAGTATTCTGTTTAAATATTGTAATATTTGCAGAAAAGCATTGTGAACAGCAACTACACACACATTGACATCATGCCAAATGGAATCGATATCTGTATATAGACAAATACAACAAACAAAATACCAAAGAATACACTACCAGTCAGAGTAACAAAGCACTATTATAGGAACCCCAATTAAGTCAGGGAAAATTAGAAACACCTGGAGGTGTATCAGGTTGATATTATTCCTTGGTTCCAGTGAGGAAACAAAAGAAAATATTTCTCAGAAATAAATATTTATCAAATTATTCTTCTCAAGTTTTCTAAAAATTATGATATATGA
The DNA here is from genome assembly GCF_000001405.40 of Homo sapiens. Lineage (NCBI taxonomy): Eukaryota > Metazoa > Chordata > Mammalia > Primates > Hominidae > Homo > Homo sapiens. The sequence continues at coordinate 115,971,870 of NC_000004.12, read as the reverse complement.
AATAAGAGCTTTTAAGAGAATTAGGAAACTTGTATTTGGAACTGAAGAAATGAAGCAGAATGTATTATGGAGAGATTTTAAAAAATGAAAATAGAAAAAGGTAAAAATATAAGAAAGGTAGAATAAAAAGTTCTCACAAACATCTAAACGGGGTCCTAGAAAAAACGGACATAGATAATGGGATAGAGGAACTATCTGAAGGGATTAAGTATTTTTTTAGCACTAATAAAACAAATGAGCCAGAGGAAGAGAAACCTCAGTGGAATAAATGGGAAAATGTTAGCAAAAATACCAGAATAATACAAAGTGAAAACCTTAAAACTAACTAGAACAAAAACATTTTTGACATGAACAGTCAGTAGAAGCCATACTAAACACAGAACTATATTCAAAGGTCAAAAAAAGTATTTGTCAAAGTTTTGTGCCAAACAAGTGTTTTTACTAGTTTTCTATTGCTGCTACAATATGTTACCGCGAATATAGTGGTTTAAACAATGGAAATGAATTATCTTACAGTTCTTGTTCTTTTGGAGGCTCTGAGATAAGTCATTTCTTTGCCCTCTCCAATGACTAGAAGCCACTGTTTCTTCACTCATAGCCTTTCCTTCACCTTCAAAATCGGCAACACACGTCTGACCCTGTTCCCATCTTTACATCTCTTTTTCCTTTCTTTTTTTGAAACAGGGTCTTGATGTGTTGCCCATCCTGGGGTACAGTGGCATGATCATAACTCACTGCATCATCAAACTCCTGGGCTCAAGTAATCCTCCTACCTCAGCCTCCTAAGTAGCTGGGTCTAAAGGCATGTGCCACCATGCTTGGGTTTTTTGTGTGTGTTTGTTTTAGTAAAGATGGGGGTCTTGCTCTGTTGCCCAGGCTGATCTCTAACTCATGGACTCAAGTGATCCTCCCACCTCAGTATCTCAAAGTACTGGGATTACAGACATGAGCCACCAATCTATCTTACATCTCTTTTTCTGACCTCAGGAATTACACTGGACCCACCTGAAAAGCCCAGGCTAATCACCTTATTTCAAGATCAGCTGGTTAGCAAACTTAATTTCAATTGCTAGCTTAATTCCCCTTTGTCATGCGATCTAATGTATTCACAGGTCCCAGGAACAGAGCATAGGTAACTTTGAAGGGTAATATTGTGCCCATTACATTATCTCCCATAAGCAAAGACAAATTTAATTTTCACATTAAAAAATAAGGCTGGGCATGGTGGCTCACACCTGTAATCCTAGCACTTTGGGAGGCCGAGGCAGGCGGATCACCTGAGGTCAGGAGTTCAAGACCAGCCTGGTCAACATGGTGAAACCCTGTCTCTACTAAAAACACAAAAATTAGATGGGCATGGTGGCACACGCCTGTCATCCCAGCTACTTGGGAGGCTGAGGCAGGAGAATTGTTTGAACCTGGGAGGCGGAAGTTGCAGTAAAATAAAAAATAAAAAGTATTACTACCAACGGCATGTATTCAAAGAATTTAAAAGGGATGTGTTTCAGGTAGAAAAGCATAACCTCCTGAAATATCGGTAATATAAAGCATGAAGAAAAGTTTTGTAAGTAAATAAAAATTTTAGAAAAAAATGCAAGACAATTTATGTAAAATGCTCATGACACTGGTGTCTATTTGGAGGAAGTTAAAAATAGACATAAGTAAAATAATAGACAACAATAGTAATCTTGTGAGTGAATACAATATTTGAATTATTCATATTTTCATAAGGCTGGTGTTAAGATAACTTTACTAATCAAATTACTTCACTCATGCATAGTAAAAGGTGAAGTGTATTGACTAAAATAATGATTAAATATAGTTCTGATAGATGCAGGAGGCAGATAAGGGAACCTGCACAGGGTCTTGCCTGGGCATGCCCACAAGGGACTGGGGGCCTGAATGTGCACTGGGAGAATGGGGTGGAGCCACCAGGAATTCACGCCTAATGCAGGGGGAGGAGCTGGGCCTCTTTAGCTCCTGTGTGGTGACCTGCTATTCAATCTGTAAGGTGGGAGCCTGTTGGCTGGGCCCCCTCTTATTTGCTGAGAGCTTTCTTTTAATAAATTCCATTCTCCTCACCCTTCAATGTGTCTGTGTGCCTAATTTTTCCTAGTTGTGAGACAAGAACCAGTATTTTATCTAAGCTAAGGAGCAAAAAATTTTGCACCAATTTTTATACAGTACAGTGAATATGGAAATTAAAGCCGACCACCCAATAACATAAGTAAATAAAGAAAAAGAGCCAAAACTTTGTAGATAAATACAAAGAAAGCCAAAAGGTGGTCAACACCTATGTATCAATAATCACGAAACACTCTTTTAAAAGGTAGTAAATCATCATTTTGGGTATTAAAACAAACCAGATATAACATATGCCTGGATATTTAAAAGGTATATCTGAACTTACATTACAGAATTGTCAAAGGTTTTTGTGTGGTCATGCAGTGGTTTGAAAACTAATACAAAGGAAATATAAGCAACTTTTAATTTTAAATGTTATATATTGTTAAATATGAAAAGGACTGTTATGATTTGAATTACATGCCCCTGAAACGCATGTTGAAGTCCTAAACCTTAGTACCTCAGGATGTGAACCTGTATGGGAATGAAATAATCTCACATGTAATTCATTCAATTATCATGGGTTCATATTGGAGTAGGGTGGGACCAAATCTAGCATGACAGGTGTTGTTATAAAAAGAGGATAGTTTAAAACAGATATGCTTACAGATAGAACGCCATTTGAACTGGAAAGCAGAGGTTGCATGATGTATCTACAAGCCAGGCATTCCAAAGATTTCCATGGAATAGATTTTTCCTCACAGCATTAAAAAATACAGCATTGCTGTCACCTTGATCTCATACTACTAGGTTCCTGAACTATTTAGACAATAAATTAATATTCTTTAATTCACCCAATTTGTGGTACTTTGTATAGTAGTCCTAGCAAATCAATACAGGAAGTAAATTCTAAAGCTCTATAATTACAATGCAGATTCAAGAAACAATATACATTTGATAATCTACAGAAATAAATAAATTTAATCTTTAATTAGTAATCTTCCCAGAAATGGATAAACAAAGTATGGTATAACCATATACTAGAATACTATTCAGTGCTGAAATAAACCATCAAGCAATGCAAAAACATGAGTGAATATTATATTCATATTACAAAGTGAAGGAAGTTACTCAAAAGGCTACGTATTGTATAATATTGTTTATATAACGTTCTAGAAAAAGCAAGACCATAGATATGGTAAACAGATAATTGGCTGGGAGGGGTTTGGAGCTTGCAGTGAGTTGAATAACTAAAGTAAAGAGCAGATTTTAGGGTGGCAAAATGATTTTGTGTGGTACTACAGCAGTAGTAGATAACACTAAACATTTTTTAAAACCCATAAAAATTTACTATATGAAGTAAGCCTATTTTAGGCAGATTAAAAAATATTTAGGGGGTCACAGCACCCCAGGATTAAATGCAGACAAAAGAATCTAACCATATAACAAATGTATAAAATTAACTCACTGAAGAGTGTAGGAGAAAAGTTGCTGTCTGTTAATTCAGCAATGGTCTAATGTCTGTTCTCATGCTGCTATAAAGAACTAACTGAGACTGGGTAAATTTGTGAAGACAAGAAGTTTAATTGACCCACAGTTCCACAGGCTGTACAGGGTGCATGCCTGGGAGGCCTCAGGAAACTTATAATCATGGCAGAAGGGCTAAGGGGAAGCAAGTACCTTCTTCAAATGGCAGAGAGGGAGAGAGAGAGGGTGAAGGGGAAAGTGCCACACACTTTTAAACCATCAGATCTCATGAGAACTCAATCACTATAATGGGAACAGCAAGGGGAAATGCCGCCCCCATGATCCAATCACCTCCCACCTGGTCCCTTCCCCAACATTGAGAATTACAATTCAACATGAGATTTGGCTGGGACACAGAGCCAAAGTCTATCACTGGCCTAAATAACTTTAGAGACAAAGGAAAACTGTAAGACTAATGGCAAGCAGGGCTATACATAAGCATAGTAATATAGTTGGTAAAATTGTTTAACATAGTAGTACAGGATAACAATTCTGATACTGCTGTACATGTGTAGTATAGTTAGGCAATTAAGTGAATTATGGTGGTGACAGATTTCTTGCTGTTGAAATCGGAGCATACAGACAAGAAATGTAGATGACTGAAATTATTTATGAAGTACTAGATTAGAGTCAGAGAATTCAGTATGCACTTTCATCTACTCTAATATATATACAGGTTGGTATATATAATATATATATATATAATATATATACACATATTTACAGAAGTTTGTATATGCATGGTTAATATATACACGTATTTCTTTGCTCTTTCAACTTAGAGGGCCTAGAGACAACCTAACTAACAACAAGCACATCCATCTAGTACCTAGATGTTGGTTTTATACAACACTTTCAAATATGAGAAAGAAGGGCACGCAGTAAAAATAGCTGAGTCTAAGACTGGGGTACAGAATACCAAAGAAGAGCTTTATACATCTTGTATCATCAAAAACAATGATGAGGCTTGTCAAATAGACAAATAAGCCAACTGAAAGTGTTTCCAGCAGACAAAGCTGGAACAAATTGAGTAGGAAAAAAATTTAAAATGTGTAGAATTATCACCCAAAGTATAAAATACATATTCATAAATCCATTCTGAAATTTAAAAATAATTTATTTAATAAATGGAGTAAATAGATAAATCACCCATATAGACAAATTCCAAATTATTTAAGTAGATAATACATCCTCACTGAGCTGGAACTTAACTCCTCACACCTTTAGTGTGGCCAGTGCATAATGACATCCTTCAAAAGTGTTTCATGAAAAAAGAGAAAATAGAATAACTTTAAAGTGGAGAAATGTGACAAGCATAATCTCAGCCAGATAATTAAGGTTAACACCAGCAGTAATAAGTCATGTTGATATAAGAATGACATTTTACCTCTTGAATCTTTCTCCTCCCCTGCCAAAAATTATTTCAGTCTAAACATAGGAAATACAAACACTTAATTTGTAATTTAGGACAGTCTACAAAACATCTGACCAGTGCTTCTGAACACTATGAAGGTAATAAAAAACAAGGTAAGGCTGAGCACTGATACAGCTAAGAGTAGTTAGACACATGCTATCTAAATGTAATGTGTTATCTTGAGTGGGATTCTAAAAGGGAAAAGGAACATTATGTAAAAATTAAGAATTCTGAATAGAGTATGGACTTCATTTATTAGTAATATATCAATATTTATTCATTAGTTATTACAAATATACCAGGCTAATGTTTGATGCTAGCAATAGAAATTACTGTAGTATTTTCACAAATTTGTATAAATATTAATTTATTTTTAAATAATATTTTGAAGAAATATTGCACAAAATGGAAACATAAGAAATTAGTAATATGTATTTCTGTCCTCTAGCCATTAAAGTACAATGTAGAATAACTGGCTTTTGTATTGCTGAAAGAATGAAATCCAGTTATCTCTATACTCCATTTTAATTAATTCTGTAAATTAACCTTTATTACATTTTTTGTCTTTTTTCAACTTTCTAAAGAATAGTTAAAATGCAATAAAATATTAATCTATGGTCCACAGTTTAATAATGTTTATTAATTTGTTTACCTCTGCACTACCACCACAATCAAAATATGTGACATTTCTACCTGTAAAAGGTTCTATTGTGCCCCTTCTCAGCAAAGCACATCTTATTCATGGTCTCAGGGCAATCACAGATCTGTCTTCTGTCATAATAGATGAGATTTTGAATTGTTAATATTTTATATAAATGTAATAATAAAACATCTGAGTCTAGCATATTTTGATGTTAAATTGTATTGGTAAACTATATAACATATGAATATCTTAATTTACTTATCTTCATTGTTGAGTAGTATTCCATTAGGTGATTTTTTACAATTTGTCCATTTGACTGTTAACATACATTTACTTCTTATGTTTGCAATGTTTTAATAGCATTGTAAATATTTGCATATAATTTTGTGGATTTTTATATTTTGTAGGAAATAACATGATAGTGAAATTGCTGATTCAGATGTAAGTCCAATTTTAACTTTTTAAACAATAGACAAACTGTTTCCAAAGAATGGAATCATTTGCATTCATCAAGGAATATATAAAACTTCCAGTTACGCTATATCCTCGCCAACTTTTGGTAATGTCAGTCTTTCTCATTTTAACAATTCTATTGGGTATACGGTGGCCATTTTATTGTGTTTTAATTTGCATTTACCATATAAATCATGATGCTGAACTTTTTTTATTGACCATTTCTTTGTCTTCTTTTGTGAAATGTCTGGTGTAAATATTTTAATCAATTTTATTGAGTTTTCATTGAGTTTTTTATTTCCAATTATGAAATTTTAAATATATTTTGTATATTTAGGAAGCAAGCCCATCATCTAACCGTAATGTGCATGTCTTCTCAGTCATTTTGTGATTCTTTCATGTTCTTTTTTTTTTTTGAGACGGAGTCTCTCTCTGTCGCCCAGGCTGGAGTGCAGTGGCACGATCTCAGCTCACTGCAACCTCCACCTCCCAGGTTCAAGTGATTCTCCTGCCTCAGCCTCCTGAGTAGCTAGTACTACAGGCAGGTGCCACCACGCATGGCTAATTTTTTGTATTTTTAGTAGAGACAGGGTTTCACCGTGTTAGCCAGGATGGTCTTGATCTCCTTACCTCGTGATCTGCCTGCCTCGGCCTCCCAAAGTGCTGGGATTACAGGCATGAGCCACCATGCCCGGCTCTTTCATGTTCTTAACTGTGTCTCTGAAGAACAAATATTTTAATTTTAAAGAAGTACAATTTATCAATTTTTAAAATTGTTTCCATATTTTTGTTCTAATTAAAATATCTTATGACCACTGTTAAAGTTATAATTACTGTGTCCTATGATGGCCTAGAGAAGTTTTAGTTTTTATATCTAATTTTTAGTTCATAAGTAGCATAAGAAAATGATTGAATTTTGTTTTTGTCATCTTTTCAAACCCTTGTAAAAATAGATTTAGGGAGTTCAAGTGCATTTTTGTTATGTAGATATATTGCTTATTGGTGAAGACTGGGTTTTTAGTGTAATTATTATGTGATCAATGTAAATTGTACTCTATAGGTAATTTCTCATCACTCACCTCTCTACCATTCTCCCACACTTTGGCGTCTTCAATGTCTGTTATTCTCCAATGTCTATTATTCCACTCTGTATGTCCATATGTATCCATTGTTTGGCTCCCACTTATAAGTGAGAATATTCAATATTTATCTTTCTTTTTTCTGAGTTACTTCACTTAAGATAATGGCCTCCAGTAGATGGTCATTATATAAAGATAAACAGATCAACTCAACAAGAAGATAATACTAAATATACATGCATCCAACATTGGAGTACTAAGATTCATAAAACAAATAGTACTAGACCTGAGAAAAGGGATAGACAGCAATATAATAATAGCCCAACTCACAGCACTAGACAGATCATCAAGGCAGAAAATTAGCAAAGAAACACTGGAATTAAATTGAACTCTAGAACAAGTGAACCTAACAGACATTTACAAAACATTCTACTCAACAACCGCAGAATATACATTCTTCTTATCTGGGCATGGAACAGTCTCCAAAAAGACCATATTCTAGGTGACAAAACAAGTCTCAATAAATTTCAAAAATTAAAATCATACCAAGTATCTTCTCATACCACAGTGGAATAAAACTGGAAACAAATAACAAGAGGAAGTCTCATAACCATATAAATGCATGGAAATTGAAGAACATATGACTGAATGATCTTTGGATCACTGATAGAATAAAGAGAGAGATTTAAAAACTTTTTGAAACAAATGAAAGTAGAGACCCAACATCAAAAACCTCTGGAATAGAGCAAAAGCAGTGCTGAGAGGGAAATTTATAGCATTAAATGACTATATCAAAAAGATAGAAAAAGCACAAATTAACAACTTAATGTTGCACTTCCAGGACTAGAAAAACCAAGAACAAACAAAACCCAAAGGTAGGAGAAGAAAAAAAAATAAAAAAGATCAGAGAAGAGCTAAATCAATTTGATAGCAATAAAACAAGTCAGAGGATCAATGAAAGAAAAAGTTGGTTATTTGAAAATATAAACAAAATTGATACACTACGTGCTAGAATAACCAAGAAAATAAGACAGCAGACTAAGATAAGCACAATCAGAAATGAAGGTGACATTACAACTGATACCACAGAAATACAAAAGTTCATCAGAGACTACTATGAGCATTTCTACATGCATAAGTTTAAAAACCTAGAGGAAATAGATAAATTCCTGGAAACATACAACCTTCTAATACTGAGCCAGGAAGAAATAGGATTCCTGAAAAATCAATAAGCAGTGAAATTGAATCAATAATAATAATTCTTCCAAAAAATATGCCCAGGATTAGATGGATTCACAGCTGAATTCTACCAGATATACAAAGAAGAGCTGGTACCAATTCTACTGAAACTATTCCAAAAACTCAAAGAGGAGAGAATCCTCCCTGATTCTACAAAATCAGTATCACCCTGATACCAAAGCCAGGCAAGGACACAACAACAAAAGCTAAAGTACAGGCCAATAGCCCTGGTGAACATAGATGAAAAAAATTCTTAACAAAAGACTAGCAAACCAATTCTAACAACACGTCACAAATATGATACACCATGATCAAGTAGGTTTTATCCAAAGAATGCAAGAATGGTTCGACATATGCAAATAAACAACGTAATTCACCATATAAGCAGATTTTTAAAATGAGATTATCTCAATAGATGCAGAAAAAGCCTTCAATAAAAATCAGCATCCGTTCATGATAAAAACCCTTAACAAACTATGCATTGAAAGAATATACCTCAAAATAACAAAAGCTGTATATAACTAATCCACAGCCAACATCATACTGAACAGGGAAAAGTTAAAGAAATTGAAATCGTTAAGTGTATATTCAACCAAAGAAGTGAAAGATATCTGGAATACACTAATGAAAGACGTCATACGTGACACAAACAAATGAAAAAGAAAAAAAAACGCTGATGTTCATTGATTAGATGAATCAATACGTTAAAATGACAATTCTGCCCAAAGCAATCTACAGATTCAGTGCACTTTAAACTCTTTAAAAATGATTTCTTTTCCATTAAATTTCCTTAACACCTTTTTTCATAAATCAACTGGCCACATATATTCAGGTATTTTTGAGATAGTCTATTTTGCTTCATTAACCTATCTCTCTTTATACTAATACTACTACTACACTGTTTTGATCATTTTAGATTTACAGAAATATTCAAAATAAATCATGTAAGGGAAGTCCTCCATATTTTCTCTATTTTTTTTTAAATTGGCTATTCTATGACGTGTGCATTCAAATATAAAGTTTGTAAAGAGTGTGTTAATTTCACCAAGAATTAGTCAACTGGAATTTTTATTGTAATTGTATTAAATTGATAGAATAATTTTAAGATAATTTAAATTTAACAATATTGATATTTTCAATATATAAATATTTCATAGCTATGTCTTAATTTCTCTTTCTGACATTTGGACTTCTCATTGTAAAGATCATCTGCGTGTTTTATTTTATATATCTTTAATCATTTCATACTTTTGCATCCTATGGTAAATTGAAAATTTATCGTTTTGAATTTGAATTCCCAATCATTTGTTTATAGTATAAAAGTGTAGTTTTTTTCAATATTGGCATGGTATTCTAAAATCTTGTTAAATTTTCTTTTTTCTCACAGCATTTTTGTTGAATGGGATTTACAGAATAATCATATTTTTGCTTATAAACATAGTTTAAAAGATTGTTTAATTCCAATTTTGCACAAGTTTACTATATCTGCAAAATTGGAAATATATGCTACTTTTTTTTGCATTACTGCCCTGCGTAGGATTTTTTTGTAATAACAAAGAGCAGTGGTGAGAGTGGACCTTTTTACTTTTCTTGAATTCATAGAGATAGCATTCAATCTGTTACTAATAAATACAATATTAATTTTAAATATTTGATGCATATCTTTTATTAGCTTGAAGTTCAATTTTATTTATAACTTTCTGAGTTTTCAGCATGAATAAGTTTTCAGTTGTGCCAAATACTTTTTTATAATCTCTTAATATGTAGAATTGCATTGATCAGTTTTCGTATGAAAAATCAATCTTGAATTCCTGATGTAACACTGCTTGGCCATGTCATATTATGGTTCTTATTTATTGCTGGGTTTGATTTTCATCATATCTTCATAAATCCTTATTTGACACCCCACAGGTCAGTTAATTTCTCTAGTTATAACCTCTGCCGATATCAGTACCTTCCTTTAAAAACAGTTGTAAAAATTAGTAAAATGCACTCACTTGTATAACTATTTTACTTACAGTTGTATCAATATTATATTGTAAGATTCATGAAGTGAGAATCTTAGATTTTCTCTAATTTATTCTATTGATAAAATATATAGTAAGACTGAAATATGTGTCGGGTGAAAGAATATAACTCATGAAGTTCCAAACACTAAAATACATGACAATATTGTATATATTTTTCCAGATAATTACAAAAACATTGTCTTTGACAGCAAAGTTGGTAATATGACATTGGTTAATATCTACACTATATGTTTTATTTTCTTGATCTGCAGTCCAATGCTCTACCTTCGAGCTAAACTCCCTCCTGCTATATATTTTATTTTCTATTACTCCATTTGGAAAATTCTTGGGAGGTTAGAGATGAAGACTATTTTACTGTGTTAACTATGATACACTGTTAAAATAATTTTAGCTTATATTTCATTAGAATAAAATGAAGTGTAATAATATATGTCCCTATCTAGCCATAAATACTTTGATATTAAATTTTATGTTTAAGGTGTTCAGTTAATTTTGTGGTCTTCCTACTTAAAATTGCATTTAAATTTTGACTGTATTAATATTAAAACAGTTTTGAGACTCGAGGGAAAAAAAATCCTTTCATTAATCCTAAATAATCTAGAATTATGTAATCTATTTTTTTCTAGCAGATTTCAACAGACATTTAAAACTAAGATTGATGAACTGAAGATTCAAAACATTTGAAACTTCCCATATTATAAATTATTAGAGGAGTTTAGTTTATGAGCATAGGAAAGAGTAAATAGATTGAACATATCATTCCTATTGTTACCTTTGTATCAAAACTTTTTATCCTGTTAAAATGGGTTGGGTTATACTTGATCTAGTAAAATATGTGTATTTTATAAATACAGCTTACAAGCAAACATTATGTACCATTTTGTGGGAAAACATGTATAATTATATAAATTTCTTTTAAATGAAGGTGTTGATACCCAATTTACAAAGTATTAAGGACATTTGTTTTTGAACATTGAAAGATATTAATATCCATATATACCTTAAACTATTTCTATGATTCATGCTATTTTATTTTAATAACTATTTTGCCTAAATAATTCAATTGCTAAACTTTGAATTTGTCCAATATTTAGATTGCTTGGAGAATTTTATTTATAAAGATAATATTGATGTATAGAGGTTATTATGTTTTGAAAACATTTAGGTAATACAACCAAATGACAGGATCATGACTTTCTTTTCTTTTCTTTTCTTTTTTTTTTTGAGACAGAGTTTTGCTCTTGTTGCCCAGGCTGGAGTGCAGTGGTGTGATTTCGGCTCACCACAACCTCCACTTCCCAGGTTCAAGCAATTCTCCTGCCTCACCCTCCCGAGTAGCTGGGATTACAGGCAGGTGCCACCATGCCTGGCTAATTATGACTTTCTTTTCTACAGGGAGAATAAATAATATTCAAGTTGTCTTTCACTTTCAAATAGCCTGCTTTAAAACTTAAAAGTATAGCCACATTTTAAAAAAGTAAAACTTTTAAAATGTACACAACTAAATTCTGAATTATTATAGTGTGATTGAAGAATATTGAATGATGTAATATAATAAAGTATAAAACAAGTATGATTTACCATACTTGTTTTGGTAATAAACATTTTTATATAAAATTGATACAATCAATTCATTTATATATGCTGAAATATTAAAGTCATGATCTTTTTATGAGCCTTCATATTTTAATATTTTGGCAGTAGTGATTTTAAAATAAAGAACATATTTACACAAAATTTTGTTTAGTCTGTAAAATGTAAAGTAAATCAATAAATGTGTCTTTTTTTACAATGTTAAGATGATCAGTCTGTTGTTTTATTAAGATATAATTGACCACATGTGGTAGCTCAAGCCTGTAATCCCATTATTTTGGGAGACTGAGGTGGGTGGATCACGAGGTCAGGTGTTCAAGACCAGCCTGGCCAACATTGTGAAACTCCATCTCTATTAAAAATACAAAAAAATTAGCTAGGCGTGGTGGCGCGTGCCTGTAATCCTAGCTACTTAGGAGGCTGAGGCAGGAGAATTGCTTGAACTCAGGAGGTGAAGGTTGCGGTGAGCCGAGATCGCACCACTGCACTGCAGCCTGGGTGAAATAGCGAGACTCCATCTCAAAAAAAAAAATAAAAATAAAAAATAAAAAATAAAAAAAGATATGATTATATTTTTTCAAATCTTAGGCAATAAAGTTAATCTTGATATATCCCATGATGATTTTAAACTAAGCAAATTTATTTGCAGCAGCAAAATTAATTTCGTAGGTGAATAAACTGAATACTTCCAGTATAAGCCTTCATAGATCAGTTAAGTGGAAAGTAAACAGGAAACACCCATCTATTTGAAAAAAAGCATTGGCAATCGTGATGTTTGGCATAGACTGTATGACAGAGAAAAACAGTAGTTTCAGAAAACATTTATGAAATTTTTAATGACAACATGTTTTTCAATCATTAGTTACAGTTTGATTTATAATCTACAAAGACAGAAATCACTTGCTTTATTTTGTGTCTCCCATAAAGCATCTATTTTTCCCTCACATAAATGTAATATACATTTATCTACTCTCCCCTTTCCTTTTGCACCAGGAAGGACAAGGATTTCTATCTTTGCTATATAAGAAAAAGGAACTCTTTTGAAGGAACGTTTTTAATTTCGTCACAAAAGGTGTAAAAACAAAAAAAAAAAAAAGTGAAGGGAAGTTAGCTTAACTAATTTATACTAAACTATGTAAAGTGATTCCTAGAGTATTGACATAGACAAGATATCGCAAACAGCATACTTCAGATTTTTAAAAAAATATTCTATAGTGAAAAAAATAGCTCCTTACTGAAGTTCAACTATTAAAAATATGATACAATGTATATGTTTCCTAAATAAATTCACTAAGTATAAAATGATATAGTATAGAAATAAATTATTTTTTGAATAACCCAGGTTTCAGTAAAAAAATTCTTCTGACTTCATCACAAGAATATGAACATATTTCTTCAAATATTTATAATATTAAAAAACAAACAGTAGAGTAGGAGAGTGGGATTTCATTTGAAACTTGGGTATAGAATATTCATTAGAAAATGACTTATTAACAAAAGAACAACATACATCAGGTTTAACCAATAATTTGTGTAGCTGACTGAATTCAGTATATACACAATATATTTTAAATGATTTGTATAAGCATAAATTATTTTTGAAAAAATAGAATTGAATTTCTCACCTCCATTTCAGAATTTCTATTTAAAATTTAATTGGTATGTATTTTGTTACATACATTGTTTTTAAATGCATTTAAAATGTTTGTTAAATACATGTCTTCAAAAATGGGTATGTAAGTACATAAACTTATACTTGTTAAGAAAGAAAATTCTACAAACTACAGAATACTGTATGTGACTTCAGGTTTTTTAAAAAACCTGAAGCAAGAAGAGATTAGGGGCCTATTTTTAGCATCCTTAAAAGAAATTCCAAAAATATTCTATATGCCACCAAACTAAGCTTCATAAGCAAAGGAGAAATAACAGATTTTCCATAGAAGCAAGCACTAGGGAACTTTTTGCCACTATACTAGCCTTACAAGAGACCCTCAAGGGAATTGTAAACATGAGGAAAAAAGAATAATACTTGCTCCCAGAAAAATACCCTTAAATACATAGCCCACACACCTTGTAAGGCAGACAAACAATAGAGATGACAAAGTAACAAGTTAACAATTTCACAATAGGATCAAAACCTCAAATATCAATGTTAACCTTGAATGGTAATGATTGAAATGCCCCCAGTTAAAAGGCACTGAGTCGCAAGTTGGATAAACAACAGGACCCAGCTGTCCTTATCTCCAAGAGCTCCATCTTACATGCAATGACACCCATAGGCTCAAATAAAAGGTTGGAGAAATATCTATTATGCAAACAGAAAGCAATAAAGGGCCAGAGTCACTATTCTGATATCAGATGAAACATACTTTAAACCAACAGCAGTAACCAGAGACAAAGAGGGTCATTACATAATGATAAAGAGTTCAATTCAATAGGAAGACTTAACTATCTTAAATATATATGCATCCAACAACGGAGCACCATCATTCATAAAATAAGCACAACTAGACCTAAGAAATGAAATAGATAGCTGCATAATAATAATGCAGGTCTTCAACAACCCACTTACAACATTAGACAGATCATCAGGGCAGAAAACTAACAAATTCTAGACTTAAACTGAACACTTGACCAATTGGACTTAATATGCAGCTACAGAATACTGTGCCCATCAACCACAGAATATACATTCTTCTCATCTGCACATAGAACATACTCTGTTATCTACCACATGCTTGCCCATAAAGCAAGTCTCAATAAATTCAAAAACACTGAAATGATACCAACCATACTCTCAGACTTCAGTGGAATAAAAATAGAAATTAGTACCAAGAAGAACCCTCAAACCACATCAATAAATGGAAATTAAACAAATTGCTCCTGAATAACTTTTGGGTAAACAAAGAGAGTAGGGCAGAAATTAAAATAAATAAATAAATAAAAACACAGATACAATATATCAAAATCTCAAGGATGTAGCAAAAGCAGTGTTAGGAGCAAAGTTTATAGCACTAAATGCCTACATCAAAAAGATAGAAATATACCAAATCAATGATCTAACCTGAAACCTAGAGGAACTAGAAAAACAAAAACAAACTAATACCAAAGTTAGCAGAAGGAAAGAAATAACTATATTCAGAGCAGAGTTGAACAAAATTGAGACACATATATTCATACCAAAGATTAATGAAACCAAAAGTTGGCACTTTGAAAGGATAAACAAGATCAACAGACTGCCAGCTAGATTATCAAACGAGAGAAGATGCAACTAAGCACAATCAGTAATGGCAAAGGTGACATTGTAGCAGGACAAGCCCCAGACAAAACCTCTCAGACACCGAGTTGTAGAAGGAAGGGCTTTATTCAGCTGGGAGCATCAGCAAGCTACTGCCTTAAAATCCGAGCTCCCCGAGTGCACAATTTCTGTCCCTTTTAAGGGCTCACAACACTAAAGATTTTACATGAAAGGGTTGTGACTGAGCAATCTAGGGGATACGTGACAGGGGTTTCATGCACTGGTAGTCAGAGTGAAACAGAACAGAGCAGGGAGTTTCCCAATGTTCTTCCATACAATGCCTGAAATCTATGGGTAACATGGGGTTCTAAGTCATGAGTTGATTTTTAACTACTAGGTTTAGGCCAGGCAGGCCCAGGCCTGGTTTTGGGCCTGGAACCGGGCTGCTTGTCTTTGATTTCACTTCCTTATTTTTTTCTTAAAACAGGTACTGAGCATAAAACAATATAAAACAATATGAGAGAGTCTTTCTCTTCCCTCATTTTCCCCCTTTGAGACTCTCACTTTTTATTAGAGAGAGTTCTCACTTTTATTTTTGCTACTTATATCTTTTTGTGCAATAGATTGATAGTGATTTATATAGTACACTTGCACTGAAGCATTTTGGTGAACTAAGGTAGTGATGAAGCCTTTTATCATTTGAAGAAGTACAGGTAGCAAACAAGGGAGCAGTAAGCAGGTTTTTATTACTATTATAACTTTTATTATAAGAATTTTAAATCTTCCTAGTGCTGGAAACCATCTTCTAACATGGCTTCAGGGTTGAATCCATGCTACACTTGTACTGGCACATGTGCCAGTTTTGTCATATTTTTAACTATGTCTTTAACTACTTGCCTTTGATTATCCATGTGTAGACAATAATTAGTAAGGTTAAATTTCTTATAGACTTTTCTTTTAGCTGCTAGTAAGTAGTGGAGAGCCAATCTATTTTGATAGATAGCATTTCTTATCTGAGTTTTTTTTTTTTTTTGCCAGGCCAGAATAGTCAAGGCTTGACTGGTTTTATTAGTGATGATTTTTAAAAGAGCTTGCAACCGTATCATTCGGTTGAGCATGTAAATGGGGGTCCAGTATCCCCATGATCCGTCTTGTGTCTAAGTGGCAGGCCTATAGTAACGTATAATTTTTTTAGGGGGTCATTCATCATTTTTCCAATTAGCTATGGCTATGCTTCGTTTTCCACGGGAAGCATAGACAGGGAAACCCAGGAGTTTGCCTGTTTTTATGGGCAGTAGGAAGAAAGATGGCTTAATAGTGCCAACAACACAACTAAATGTCCACTGGTCAGGCAGCTTTGTGTAGGCTCTATGTCTACATATCCAGTATAACCCGGTGGGGGCAGTCCAGTCCCAGTGGAATTCTGGGTGGGCCCAGACAGTCTGCAATGTTGGAAATTTACTGAATGGATCTCTTTCTGTGTAATTGGAACTCCACCATGTAATTGTTTTTTTGCAGTACCATTATATAGTTTTTGCCCCAGACAACTAAGTCATCCTACAGAACGAGTGAATTCTTTTCTTTTTTTAGCTATGCAATATTGTTCAATAATTGAGACTTTTAGAAACTAAGATGATCAGGGTGATTCTTTTGGGCCGGGAATTCATCAGGAACTGGGTCTGTAGGCACTAATTCTCAGGCTTCTTATGGCCATTGATCTCTTATTACAGTTTTTCCACAAACATAACATGAAGTGACAGTTAGAGACTGGGCTACATGCTCGGCTAATTGCAAAAACAAATTTCTGTTTTTTCCTGGAGTCTCTGGTACTGGCACATATAGTTTATCATAGAAAGTCTGAAATGCTGGTTCTGGAGAGCATCTTTGAACCTCCCCTTTTATTAAGATGTTTACGCTAAGATTTAGTCCTTTTCCATCAATGCCCAATGATACGTATTTTTCTTTATTTCATTTTGGGTCTGAGGGGTTTGTGATTACCAATTGTAAAGGGTTGCAGCTCCCACTCATACAGGAGGGGCTGTCTTTTCCTTTCCGGAGCCAAAGAGGATCTTTTTTTATCTTTTTTCTGAGTAGTCCAAATAACACAAGACCAGTATTGACACATCTCACATAAATATGATTCTTGACAGGTATACTTATTTTTTACTGTGTAACTTTTTTCCAATCTAGAGAACTGCACTCTATTCCTTGCTGATTACTATGAATAGCAGCACAAGCATCAAATTTTAAGGTTACATGTTTGGGGACCCCTCTTTTTTCTCTTCCAGCTATTACTTTACTTGTGTCACCTAGAAAAGGACCAGTCCTTAGTCTTACTTCAACGACTGTGATCATGGGAGGTTCAGAGGGGTCATAGCACACATTGGGCTGGTCACTTCCTGGATTACATACTTTGTACTGAGTGTTATTATACAAACAGTTTCCTTTTGGAGTTCCTAGGCATTCATAATAACTATAAAATAATAGGACTGTAGCAATCTTTTGTCCTACCTCAGTGACTTGATGTATATACTGGGAATAGCCCTCAGTCTGAGGAAGGTCAGTTGAAGTCCTTACTGAACAAGTCCAAATTTTAAGGAAAATGAGTCCCGCGATGAGTTTCCTCATGCTTCAGCCATGCGTGGACCAGTCAGCTTCTGGGTGTGACCGGAGCAGTGTTTGCCATCTTCTTCAGATCACTTTGCAGGGGTTGGCGAAGCTGCTGCCATCCACATACAGCTCCCAGTCTACCATCTAAGGGTGGTCTCAGAGGTTGGGCCTACTAGAATAAACTGAGTCCAACACCTCTAAACAGTTATGTTTAACTGGGCTCTCTGATACCAGGAGTGAGGTGGCGGGGTTAGGGTGTTGCAAACTTCAAAGGTTACGCGGGGATTTTCACAGAGCAAGCTTTGGTATCTAGTTAGTCTAGCATTTATTAGCTAATGATGTCCTTTGGTATTTATTAAAGTCACCACAGCATGGGGGGACTTTATGTTTAGGTTTTGCCTAAGAGTTAGCTTATCTGCTTCTTGTGCTAACAGGGCCATTGCTGCCAGGGCCCTTGGACATGGGGGCCAGCCTTTGGAAACCCTGTCTAGTTGTTTTGAGAGATAGGCCACTGGCCTTGGCCAGGGCCCTACAGTCTGGGTTAAAACTCCAACTGCCATTTTTTTTTTCCTGGTTGATGAAATGCCAGGGTGAAAGGGATAGCCAAATGGACTACAGCACAAGTGCCACTCCAGTTATTCAGCAGAGTGCCCAGTAAAGGTCCACCACAATACCACCACACATCTGCTCGGGGATGAGCAAGGGCTGACTGATTGATAAGCTCTTGAAAATTCTTAAGCTTACTGCATACTTTCAGGTCTCCAAGGAGTGCTAAGTCTCCTCCCTGACGTGAGAGACACAAAGTGAACTTAGTGTTGAGAGACAGAAGCTGGATAGCCCTCGGGGACTGACCTGCAGGGACTTCAGGATATAGCAGAGAGAGCTTGGCATGACTTACTACTCCAGGCTGTAGAATCCTGGAAAAGAGCTACCATGCAGCCCATGCCTGGTCGACTGGAGGACCACCTTAGTAGAAGGGAGACAATCAGGGCCCCTGGCCTGCCATGTGCACAAGCATAACAATTGCTTTTGTTTAACGTGCAGATGGAATATTTAATCCATTTCAACCAGGCATTTGCATCTTGGTATGCTGTCTTAATTGCCAAAGTTTGTTTTAAGTCTTTAACCTTTATGATCCTCAGTAAAATGAATGTTTCCTTTAGCACCTATTTTTATTAGTTTTTAGATCAAAGAAAGCTAAACACCATTTTATATTTAATAATATTGCTTGTATGATTTTTATACCAGATAAACTAAATTTTACCTTTATATTAGTGTGTTATTAATGTTAAACTTAATTTTAATAAAACCTTGTAGACATATTTATTGAATTTTTCATGTTTGACTATAAGTTAAGATTTTATAGACTCTTTTTAACCTTTTATACTTTTTGTTAAAGAGCAGGTTGATGCTTTAAGAAAAATCTGTTGCATTTTTACTTTAATGTCCAGTTCACAGAAAAACTGGATGATACCTTTTTAACTTTAGCTAATATGTTTACACATGGAATTTTCTTTACAATTAATGTTTTAAAACTTGCTTAAACTTTTAAAACAATAATTCTTTTAACCTTTTAATGTAAGTAAAAATCCACATTCTTATGTTTCCTTATAATCTTTTTACCAAAGGTATATTTTACTTTTTTTATACACCTTGCACATAAACTGTTTCTTCAATAGTACTCAGGAGGCCTTATTATTTTTAAATTATACAACATTTTTTGCATAAAATTTTTTATAATATTTTTTTCTTTCACGACTTTTGCAAACAATTTTTCAACATGTCTCAACTTTTTGACTTACTACATTTTTTCTTAAAACAACCAGTTAATTTATTTCAGGACAAGAATTTACCATATAAGATTCTTTTTATATAAATTCTGCCTCCCCCCTTTTTCTCCTTTTTTAAAGTGAACTTTTTTTATGTCTTTGGACTAGACTGTCTAAGGCCACAAGATTAGAAGTTACCATAATACATGTTACACTGTTAACTTTTAGCAAACTTCACTTTTGTTGAAAACCTTATAAGTTTGGGATTTCAATTATCCTTTGCTATTAATAAGGCCTTGTTTAGTCTAAATTAACTTAGAATTGGTACAGATGGCCTCTTTTTCTCTCTGCTGGTCTTTCCTTGCCTCTGCCAGCCGCTTATGCTGCTGTTCTCTTAACTACTGTGGTGCGGAAGGGGGTCTAAAACCAGCTGTAACTGTCTATGTATGGAACCTGGTCTGGGTGCCTTGGCTTGCAGGTTACCTTGTGCCATACCTTTGAAACAAGGGACCTGTCCAGGCTTCTTTCTGATGGTCAACCCACCTCTAATGCTACCCAGTCTATTTCACACAAAGTTCTAAGTTTTCCTGGTGTCATAGTAACTCCATAGTCTCTATTAAATCTTTTCTTGAAATTCTTTAACATAGTTCCCAGTGGGGTGGGCTTACTTTGCACCTGACCCATTTTTTTTTTCAAGACAAAATACCACACTCACACTACACACACTCACCACAAGACAAAGAACGGGTAAAGAGGGCACACACACACTTTTACCATTTATACCAAACCAAAATCATGAAATTCAAAATCCTAGAACCAAAAAATTCAAGCCAAGTCAAAACCAAAACCAAAGTATCCAGCAATTCAAGTCAAGTCAAAACCAGAACAAAAGTGCCAATGCAGGCACACGGTGGGTGATCAGGCCACGCTTCCACTCAGATGGAGTGGGGCAAGTTCCAAAGACTAGACTTACCAAGTCAGGCCAAGTCAAAACCAGAACAAAAGTGCCAATACAGGCACACCGTGGGTGATCAGGCCACGCTTCCACTCAGATGGAGTGGGGCAAGTTCCAAAGACTAGTCTTATCAAGTTTCAGATGTCTGGACTCTAAGTGCCATTTCCTTCCTGGTGTTCAGCAACTGTGTTAATCCTCCATGGGGGGCCTGCTATGCGCTGCTCTGGTGAGGCGTTCCACCAGGGCAATTTTCTACCTGGGAGCGCTCCTTGGATCACGTCACTCAGGCTGGCCAGAGTTCCCTGCAGGGATGTTCCACAGGGCAGGCCTAAGCTGCCTAAGGGGCTGCCTCGGCCATATGTCAGTTACCTCGTTTCCCAGTCAGGGAACCAAGAAATGTAGCAGGACTAGCCGCAGACAAAACCTCTCAGACACCGAGTTGTAGAAGGAAGGGCTTTATTCAGCTGGGAGAATCAGCAAGCTACTGCCTTAAAATCCGAGCTCCCCGAGTGCACAATTTCTGTCCCTTTTAAGGGCTCACAACACTAAAGATTTTACATGAAAGGGTTGTGACTGATTGAGCAATCTAGGGGATACGTGACAGGGGTTTCATGCACTGGTAGTCAGAGTGAAACAGAACAGAGCAGGGAGTTTCCCAATGTTCTTCCATACAATGCCTGAAATCTATGGGTAACATGGGGTTCTAAGTCATGAGTTGGTTTTTAACTACTAGGTTTAGGCCAGGCAGGCCCAGGCCTGGTTTTGGGCCTGGCGCTGGACTGCTTGTCTTTGATTTCACTTCCTTGTTTTTTTCTTAAAACAGGTACTGAGTATAAAACAATATAAAACAATATGAGAGGGTCTCTCTCTTCCCTCAACATTACAACCAATCCCACAGAAATCCAAAATGACCTTAGAGATTATGAACATCTCTAGAGGTAAACCAGAAGATCTAAAGAAAATGTGTAAATTACTGGAAATGTAATATCTCAAGACTGAATCAGGAAGAAATTGAAACACTGAACAGATCAATATCAAGTCTGAAATTGAATTAGTAATAACAAAACTAGCAACCAAAAAAAAAAAAAAAAGCCTCAGACCAGATGAGTTCATAAACAAATTCTACCACATATACAAGAAGAGCTGTTACCACTACTACTAAAACTATTCCAAAAAATTGATGAGGGACTCTTCAACTCATTTTATGAAGCCACGATCACCCTGATACACAAACCTGGCAAAGCAACCACAAAAAAAGAAAACTACAGGCCAGTGTCCCTGATTAACGTAGATGCAAAAATCCTCAAAATATCAACAAACTGAATTAAATAGCATATTAAAAAGTTAATTCACCATGATCAAATAGACTTCATTCCTGGGATGCAAGAGTGATTCAACATATACAAAACAATAAATGTAATTCACCACATAAACAATTAAAAACAGAAATCATATGATTATCTCAATAGATGTGGAAAAAGCGTTAGACAAAATCCAACATTCCTTAATGAAAATCATCAACAAACTAGGCTTCAAAGGAACATAACTCAAAACAAAAAGACCTGTCTATGACAAACCCATAACAAACATCATACTAAAAGGGCAAAAACTAGAAGCATACCCCTGAAGAACTTGAACAAGACAAGGATGCCTACTCTCACCACTCCTATTCAACATAGTACTGGAAGGCCTAGACAGAGCAATCAGGCAAGGGAAATAAATACATGGCATCCCAATAGGGAAAGAATAAGTCAAACTATCTCTCTTCATGGATGTTAAGATCCTATACTTAGAGAAACCTAAAGAATCTGCCAAAAGGCTCCTGGAATGGATAAATGACTTCAGTAAAGCTTCAGGATATGAAACCAATGTATAAAAATCAGTAGCATTTCTATACAAAAATAATGTTTAGGCTGAGAGCCAAATCAAGACTACAATGCCATTTACAATAACCACATATAAAAAAATCTTGGAATACATCTAACTAAGGAACAAAAGATCTCTACAAGGAGAACTACAAAGCACTGCCAAAAGAAATCATAAACAATACAAACCTATGGAAAAGCATTCCATGCTAATGAATTGGAAGAATCAGTATTGTTAAAATGGCCATACTGCCCAAAGGAATCTACAGATACAACACTATTCCTATCAAAATGACATTTTTCCACAGAACTAGAAAAAGTATTTTAAAATTCCTATGGAACCAAAAAAGATTCTGAATAGCCAAGCAATTCTAAGCAAAAAGAACAAAGCCAGAGGTATCATATTTCCTGACTTCAAACTCTATTATAAGGGTACATAACCAAATCAGCATGGTACTGCTACAAACACAGACATATTAGACCAAGGAAAAAAAATAAACAACCCAGAAATAAAGCAACACACCTACAGCCATTTGGTCTTTGACAAAGTCGACAAAAATAAGCGATAGGGCAAGGGAGTCATGATTCAATAAATGGTGCTAGGCTAATTGGCTAGCCATATGCAGAATGAAAATGGACCTGTGTTTCTCACCATATGCAAAAATTAACTCAAGATGGATTAGAGAGTTAAATGTACCAACTCAAAGTATAAGAAACCTAGAAGAAAACATAGAAAATACTATTCTGGACATCAGACTTGGAAAATAATTTATGGCTAAGTCCTCAAAAGCAATTGCAACAAAAACAAGTATTGACAAGTGGCACCTAATTAAACTAAAGAGATTCTGTCTGGCAAAAGAAACTAACAACAGAGTAAGCAGACGATCTACATAATGGGAGACAGTATTCACAAACTATGCATTTAAGAAAGGTTTAGTATTTAGAATCTGTAAGGAACTTAACAATTGAACAAGCAAAAACAGAATAATCTCATTAAACAATGTGCAAAAGATATGAACAGACACTTCTCAAAAAAAGACATTTAAGCAGCCCAAAAAACATATGAAAAAATGCTCCACCTAACTAATCATCAGAGAAATGCAAATCAAAACTACAATGAGATACCATCTCACATGAATCATAATGGTTATTATTAAAAAAATAAAAAAACAGATGCTAGTGAGGCTTGGGAGAAAGAGAAACACTCATACACTGTTAGTGGGAATGTAAATTAGTTCAGCCACTAAGGAAAGCAGTTTGGAGATTTCTCAAAGTACTTATAATGAACATTCAACTCAGCAATCCCATTACTGGGTATATATCCTAAAGAAAACAAGTCTGTCTACCAAAAAGATATATGAACCCCCACATTCATTGCAGTACTATTCACAATAGCAAAGACACTATTCAGAACAGCAATTACATTTTAACTGATGAAAATATTTAAAATATACTTTTAGCAGTTTTCAAATATACAATACATTGTTATTAACCATAGTCACCATATTGTACAACATTTTTCTGAATTTATTTCTTCTGTATAGCTGAAAGTTTGTATTCTTTGGCCAGCATCTCCTTAATCCTTCCATACAACGTTTATTATTGGAGGAAAATAAACTATATGATTAAATAAATTCACACCCTCTCAGTTTAATATATCAAAATATTAAGAAATCACAATTTATGCTACTACATATCCCTGAAACCTATTATTAAGTACTATAACCTTTTAAAAACCGTCCATACATCCTTAAATCAGAGGCTATCTTAGTGGGCAAAAAATCATCATAGCTTTTAGAATATCTTGTTTAATATTTCTTTTGATTTCTTCCCAATATTAATTTTAATCCTTGTTCTGTTTTAATGAAATATATATTTACTATTAGACTTCCATTTTTTAATATTCCAGATAGTTTTATCTAAAACGCTATCATTCTTTTTAATTTTTAATTTTCATTTTCCAAAATAAAACCTCATAAACCTTGGAAATATGACTTGGAAATCTATTACCCATCATAAAAATTTTAAATTCCTCATAAACAATTTAAATTCCTCATGAGGAGGAATTTAAAATTTTAATAAGGAATTCCTCATAAGGAATTTAAAATTTTTATGAGGGTGCATGAGGATTTTAATGGCCCCTTTATTGTCTTTTTTTGAATAATTTAAATTCTTTTTAAAAATTTTTTTATTGTTTATATTTTATTTTATTATATTATGTATATCGTTACTGTTTTGTTAAGTAACTGTTTCTTCTTTCCTCAAACATCCTCAGCTTTATGCATGTTATTTTTTATATTTTTATATTATTTAAAATATTTTTTGTATGTCTTTTTCATTATTCCATTATATACCTTCAAGATATAAACTATATCACATTGTTTATTTAATCTCATATTCCTGCAATTGCAGATGCCTTTGTTGTCTAATTTTATTTTGTTTTTAGATGAGATTGTAACTTTTGATTTACACTTTTACCACTTTTACACTTTATTTGTACCAAATGGGTACAAATGCTTGATCTTATGTGTGTTTATATATGTCTATGCATGTGTTGAATTGCCTTTTTCTTCCATCAGAATAAAAGTTTCTGGAAGATAATAAACTTTTATGTTTTATTTATTTATATAGCCATGATGCCTAAGACAGTGCCTGGAATTATATGTATTTAATAATGAGTAATTCTGGTTTTATAAATTTTTCTCATAATGTGTGAACCTATTATATTTCAAAACCCATTCAACAACTCATTATATATTTTGTATTATATAATGCTATCTTATTCAGGTTTTCTAATATTGAGAACATTTTCTTACTGAAAGATCAATATAGATGGTCCCCTACTACGTAAGTCAGTGTTTTCCAGAGAGACAGGAACCGTGAAATATGTGAGAGGGGAATTATTAGGGAATTGGCTTATACAATCACAGAAGTGGAGAAGAGACATGATAAGCTGTATGTAAGCTGGAGAACCAGAGAATCCTTAGCATGGCTCAGTCCAAGTCTAGGAGTGTCAGCACCAGAAAAGCCAACGGTGCAGTCACTAGTCTGAGGCCAAAGGCCTGAGAGCCCCTGAGAGGCTTCTGGTGCAAGTTCCATAGTCAAAAAGCCAAAGAACCTGGAGTCTGATGTCTAAGGGCAGAAGGAAAAAGGTGCCCTGCTCCAGAAGGGCAGGAAAAAGAGAACAGAGAGAGAAAGTTCCTCTCCTTCCATCTGGTTGTCTTAACCAGGTCTGTAGTTAATTGTATGGTGCCAGCGCACATTGAGGTTTGGTATTCCTCTCTTAGTCCACTAACTCACACATCAGTTTCCCATGGAAACATCCTTACAAACACATGGAAACAATGTTTACCAGCCATCTAGGTGTACCTCAATCCAGTCAAATTGATGCCTAAAATTAACTATCATAATTCCACCCCTGGTCAACTTGGCACCCATACATACACATCTTAAACCATATTTACTATAAAAATAAAAACAATGACAAGGTCATAGTTCGACATAACATGACCTAGCTCTCCCTCATGCAACCAAAAACACAATAATCCCTTTCCCAGAGGAGAAGATAGTGTCTTGGGTGATGTTTATTCTTCCCCTGATATCTCGTAACTTAAATACTATCATATACACTTAATGATACTTAAATGATATAAAGTCAATAAATGCTTTGTACATGATGAAGATATAAGAGAAGTAAGAAAACAAAGATAGTCGTTTAATACATATGTATATATGCACAAAGGTATTCTTAACAAAAAAGGAAGGAAAAACTCATGACAATTACAGTCTTTGTTTTCATAACTGGCTGCGTTGTCATAACTGGTATTTATAACTGTCTTCTATTACCTGTTCTGCATTCCCTTTGCCTTCAGCAAGAACCTCAGCTGGTTGTAGTTCTTTACCTGGCAAGGTGACCAAAGTCTTTATTCTCAAAGAATCTGGGACATTTGTAATCCTGCCTGGATTGGATTGTTATAGTTTCCCATTGACCATAATGACAGGGCATGGTAATACTAAGAAATGCTCTAAGGAATCTCCCGTATTCCAGACATATGCTTCCTTTCCTTCATTTTGGAATAGTAACCTAGTTTTCCCTTTGTAGTCAGGACGAATTACTCAAGCCAACACAGTAATTCCCTGCCTTAGCCTGCTGAGTCAGAGGCATAAGGAGCCCAAAGTGGCCAGGTGGCCACTTCCAGTTCAATGATCTAATTGTCACATCTCCTGGTAGAAGCATTTCTCTCTCTGGAACTAGGACCTCTAGGCCAGCTGAAAATAAAACCCTGGGAATAGGAAGCAAAAATGTTGTCAGTTGGTGACTAGGGGTAACGTGAGTGGTGCCACTCCAATTTTACTCCTTGATCTTTGGATCAATAAATCCTGGCTATGGGAGAAACAATCCTATATTTTAGACACTGATTTGGAGAATATACAGCCTTCTGGTGAACATCGTACTAGCTCTGCAAAGTATTATCACCTAGCTGGTGTCGTAACTGCAAATTCAAAAGACCATTCCAACTGTTCTATCAAGACAATTGTTCTGGGTCATGGGGAGCATGGTAAGAACAGTAAGTTCCATGGGCATGGGCCCATTGCTACATTTCTTTGGCTGCAAAATGAGTTCATTGGTCAGAAACAATGCTGTGTGAAATAACATTACAGTGGATAAGGCATTTTGTAAGTTCACAGATGGCAGTTTTGGCAGAAGCATTGCAATCAGGAAAGGCAAATCCATATCCAAAGCAAGTATCTATTCCAGTGAAGACAAAATGCTGCCTCTTCCATAATGGAAGCAATCCATTATAATCAACCTGCCACTAGGTAGCTGGCTCATCATCCTGAGGAATGGTATCATATTAGGGGCTTTGTGTTTATCTCTTCTGTTGGCAGATTGAGTCCTCAGCAGTGGCCATAATCAGGCAAACCTTAGTGAGTGGGAGTTCTTGTTGATCCCACGCATAATCTCCGTCCATGCCACAATGGCCACTTTGTTCATAAACTCATAGGCAATGACAATGGTGGCTAGGGAAAAAGGCTGACTGGTGTTCATGGAATGTGACATTCTATCTGCTTGATTGTTAAAATTCTCCACTGTTAAGGTCACCCACTGGTAAGCATTCATACGGGATGCAAATATCTTCACGTCTTTGGACAACTCACAGAAGTCTATTTACAAGAGGTTATCCACATACTTCCTGTAAAAAAAAATTGTGATTTTTTTAGCTTTAAGATGGTGCTAAAGTGATATGCATTCAGCAGAAACTATATTTGAGTACTCATAAAGCCATTCTAGTTTTCACTTTCAATACAGCATTTAATACATTACATGACATATTCAACACCCTATTATAAAATAGGCTTTGTGTTAGATGATTGTCCTCAATTTTAGGCTAGTGTAATTGTTGTTGTTAAGGGATCAACAGGTTCATATGCCTGCTTGCAGTAACATCCTCAAACACCAAGACAGCAGGATTTGCAGCAGAGAAACAATTTAACGATCCCAGGGCAGATGAGTGAGGAGATGGGAGGAAACCTCAAGTGTATCTCCCTGGGGAATTCTGGGCTGGAGTTTTTAAAAGGATCATGGAGTTTGAGAGACTGGGAAATTGGGGTCATTGGTTGGAGTAAGGAGGATAAAATCATGAGAATGTAGAAACTGTATTCTTTGGTGAGTCAGCTCCTGTGGGGTCCTGAAGACCAGCTAGTATCAGAAGTCTTATTCCAGTCTTATTCCAGGAGTTTCAGCAGTATGCAAGACCTGACAGAATATCTTATATGGAAAACTTAATGT
This sequence comes from Homo sapiens, assembly GCF_000001405.40. Taxonomy (NCBI): domain Eukaryota; kingdom Metazoa; phylum Chordata; class Mammalia; order Primates; family Hominidae; genus Homo; species Homo sapiens. The sequence goes on along the minus strand of NC_000004.12, from coordinate 115,943,600 downwards.
TTAACAATAGTCAAGTTGTTAATCTATAGAGCAGTTAAGGAAAATGATTATATTGTGACAGGATCTATGTAATTCTGAGTTAAGAGGCAGCAAATAACTATCAGGAAGCTGATCAGAGAGCAAGCTGACCTAATGATTAATGCTGAATGTGCTGCTAGCTGGGTTTGTTTTTGTTTGTACTCCTCCCTTTTTCTCTGACTAATTTTATAAAGTTAATAGGGACAGTTTCATTCTGGAGATGTTTAAGGTAGGCTAGGCTTAGCACTGGTATTCAGTAGGTTGGGCATATTATATGCATTTTTGACATAATGATATTTTCAGCTTAAGATGGATTTATCAGGATGTAACCCTATCGAGGAGCATCTGTATGATGTTTCGTGAGGTGGGGTTTATTGATGGTGTTATTTTCTCCAGTTTCCCAACAATCCTGTTGTTTTTCATGTAGTTGAAAAATTTAATCCAATTTCTTATTTAATTTATTTATCTTGAGTGCTAAGTCTTAAGATTAATGAGTCTGCCTGAAAATAACATGGGCTCAACATTCATTGGTTAACTGAATCTGTCTCTGTAATGTAGCAGCAACCCTATCTCCCTATAATAATTATGGCTAAATATTCCTGACAACATAGTAACATTGTCTTTATCTGATGTTATATATAGTCTTTATAGAAGGATTATTTTGTCAACATATTGCAATGTGGTTCCTTTGCCCTATTTTGTTTTGAAAACAGTTTTTCACTCTTTGATAAAATGTGGCTTTGAGATAATTTTACAATTATTTTTTCTTGTAATTTGATTCTATGAAGATTCCCAATAGTAACTATTTACAATGATTTTAGTGGAATTATGTCAATTAGATCTTTGTCATATATGGTCTTGATTGCAAAACATTAGTGCTTTGTGGGTATGTGACTAAAGATAATTTTTGCAACAATTTAATATAACATAAAAATGCATGTACAGTATAACAATTTCGTGTCACATAAAAATGCATGAAAATACTTCAGTTAGGCTGTTAGAATACATGGTCTTTTCTAATAATTTTTATAATGCATATTACTTGGATAGAATTTTAATTCCTAAAATTAGTTTTGTATAAACTTTTGTATTTTTTACCTCTTTCATCTTTGTATTAGATATCCATCTTCTTCAAGTTAAATTATCCTTATGAGTTTCACCATCCATGCGTTTATTTTTGGAAACAAACAGAATTACGACTTGTTTCAAATCCTCCATTAATAAAGTCCTCACACATTCACATTTTATGCTATAGATTTGCTGATTGTGGGGTATTTTTTTTTTTTAACATATACTTCACTATCACTACTGTATGTTTGTTGAGTATTAACCAGTGGGGGGTGTGTGTGTGTGTGTGTGTGTATGTATGCGTGCGTGTATGTATGCATGCTTAACTGAGCTCTTGTCTGTAACTTTCCCAGGTAGGTGACTACTCTGTTTAGCCATATGTCCTTGTCTGTAGTCATATGTCCATGTCTGTATAAGCATTTCAGTACCTATTTAGCACTTGTAGAACAGAGAATTAGATAAAACACAATGAAACATTTAGAATTTGAAATTATGTATATATAGTCTTATATTTATAATTTTAAGTTTCAATAAATATTTTGCTATTGTCATAGGTAAATATTTTTCTATCAATTTACCACTAAATATGTACTTGTTTTTATACTAATATGTAATGCTAGTGTGTGACTTACTTGATGAATGGAGAGAGGTTACTTCATCAAAATAAAATCTATAAAGTTTATGTTAGGTTCATTCTAATTTTAATATATCTACTTGGTAACACCTAGATGCCATAGTGAAAAATTGTGAGGTATTGTTTACTTTCGGGAGAAAAACAATAACATTTTTGTCTAATATGCATTTTAAAATTTCAGTATCTACATATTTATCTATTCTTTTACAGTTAAATATTTCTGCTTGACTTCAGACTGTTTTTTAGATGCTTCTTAATTCTGTGATATAGCATTGCAGTTTAATGGTGGATCAATACTTAAGATATCATTGTATGTTTTATTTCATTGCACTTTCTTTTAGGTCTCTGATTAGAGTTTACTATTCCAATATGACACATAAGTTTATTAAATATTGTGCTGTGATTATGTTCAGATAGGATTGTCATTGTCACATTCAGTATATTCAACATGCAAACATGGCATGTTAATATTAAAATCTCAAGACTTGTTTGAATTATCGTTTGTGACTTTTCCTTCTAGGTGGGCTACTATATTTTGTTACATGTTTTTCTAAATATAACCACTTTGGTGCTTGTATTGTGGTTGTAGAACACATAATTATATAAAATACAGTGAAATATTTAGAGCTTGATTTATTTTCTTTAAATTCATTACTTAATTCTAAAATTATTTGTAATTGCTCACTATTGGTTTAACTTTTTAACAGGAAGTGTTGTAAAACACCAAAGAAAACATGGCCTGAAATTTAAGAGTTGTGTCCTCCAATTGCAGTCTCTTTGACAGTTGTATTTATCAAGTGCAATCAGCAGTATTCTGGGATATGGTAATAATGAGGAGAGGCATTTTAATCATATAGTTATGTATATCCATATATGTATGCATGTATATATAAAATATGTATGTATATGTAAAATAATTATAGTTACACAGTTATGTATGGTAAGATAATAAACTACTTATATGGAATCAAAATAAAAAGCAACCCTCTATTTTTGTATTTGTCAAAATTTCTTATTAAAGGAAACTTCCCATGTGACATCATTAAAATTTCTGACATTTATTACTTAAGTACTAAGGGACCTGGCACGGTGGCTCACACCTGTAATCCCAGCACTTTGGGAGGCCCAGGAGGGCGGATCACCTGAGGCCAGGAGTTCGAGACCAACCTGGCCAGCATGGTGAAACCCCATCTCTACTAAAAATACAAAAATTAGCCTGGCGTGGTGGCATATGGCTGTATTCCCAGCTACTTGGGAGGCTGAGGCAGGAGAATCGCTTGAACTCAGGAGGCGGAAGTTGCAGTGAGATGAGATGGCGCCTGGGAGACAAAGCAAGACTCAGTCTCAAAAAAAAAAAAAAAAAAAAAAAAAGAAGAAGAAAAGAAACTACTAAAGTCTGTCTTGTAAAATTCTGGGGGTAAAACCTCACAACATGTTTTTTTCCAGCCTTACATGTTTTTCTGAGAAATAATAAAGTTTGTGGACCATTGCTGTTAGATAGCTTCTTGCACCTTTATGATACATTGTTCTGATGTATCTCATACCCGTAATATTTGTTGCACAAAAAATTAAACATTCGTCTTGTTAAACGTCAAAGGCTTCGACGGAATGTCAGAATATAAAGCAAATATTTCTTAAAAATTAAAATATAATTATGCTAACAAAATTGTTTCTCAGGGATGTTATCCTTGTCCATCATAGTTTGGGCCTCTCCAAAAACAGACTCAAAAAGAAATTTGTGTACAAGTGCCTTAATTACGAAATGTCCTGAGGAACACCACCTGAGGGAGGAAGGATTGGGTGAGGGAGAAATTGAACGCAGAGTGGTCATAATTGACCTCAGGTATTCCTACCAAAGCTGTAGAGATGGGATGGTGTTTCCAAAGGATTCTCAGTTAGCAGCAAGAGGCTTGGTATTATTAATGCTCTCCATTTAATCAGCCATGGAATGACAGCTTTCTTCTGGGAGGAACAAAATATTGTTGGGGTAACAGGATTTAGTTATAATCTATGTAGTGTCTCCTACACTGGAGAAGCATCAGTCAAGAAGGTTAGGGGTACAGTTAGGAGACCATAGTGTCTATGGCAAAGATCTAATTCCCTAAGTTCTTACAAGAATATATGCTCTCTTTCTACATAAATCCTGTTTTCGTCTTTGTCTTTTCATGCCAAAATCAAGTTTCAAAATGAAATGATAAAGGAAAACATATTGAGAAGAGCTAATAGGGGACAAATTCAAACTTTTATAAAATAATCGGGATATTTATAATTTATAGTAGGTTCAGGTTAATTCCAATGATTGATATTCAAAAATGCTCATGGTTTTCAACAACAAATATGTAAAACAGGAGATGAAATAAAAACTATAAGTTAAAATCAAGACATATTTTAAAAAATATTTGTAACAGGCTTATTGCCAGATCTCTATTAAAAAAAAGGTGCATCTGATAGATATCTCAGGTTGTAGAGCTGGACACCTGGATTAAAACATAAATAAAATTAAAAATAAAAAGCATGATCAAGCTGCGAAGCAAATCTTTCTTAAAAATTATTTGTAAAATAAAAAACCCCTTACTTATCTAATCTTCTACCGGTTAGAAAGGCAGCATTAAGGCAGGGTGCTGTGATTCATTCTTATCTACTTGGGAGGCTGCAGCGGATAATTGCTTGAGCCTGGGAGTTAGAGGCCAGACTTGGCAACATCGTCAGATTTCTGTTTCTAAAATATATAAATAAATGAAATTTAAAAGATAGGTAGCATTGTGACAAGTACAATTATATTTTGAGCCATAGATTGATTTGTTATTCTAGCATTTTGCTAATATCATCTCTAATTGCATCTGGCATCTCTACCAAAACTTTAACTTGTAATACTTTTCACTGATTTTTGATAGGATAATGAATAATTGCTGACCTTGCACAATAATTTCAGGATATAGCACATCTGTATGTCAAAACAAAATGTTCCACAGTAAAAATAAACTCAGTCACTTAGATCAGACACAGTATATATTAATTGTTTGAGCTATCACTGCTTGAATCAAATTAATTTGTGAGTTCTGTTTTGAGAAACTAGAACATCAATAAATCAGGCATTCCTAAGCAACATAGTATTTAGCCTTTATACCAGATATGGGGCATATCTTGTCCAATCTTGGTTCAAGTTGTGAGGATCACAAACCATATTTCCTTTCTATGAATGTTACTATTATATCAAGTAACAAGAGGGATGTCACAAAAATTCTCTAATGGCTTTATATACAGACAGCACCTGCACCTAAATAGTCCTTTTAGTCACATTTATTACGGTGCAGCTGAGATAGAAGTGCCATTTTCAAGAAGTCTCATCTACATAATTACTCTGAAATAGGTACAGTATCTGATAATGAGGTTAAGACCAGTTTTGTAAAAAATGGATTATAAAACTGATGAATATAAATGATTCCTAATATTCAACTGTAATCTGAGAAACATTCAATTATATTAAAAATGTTCTTAGAAAAGAAATTGCTATTTAAATTTCTGTCTTTATTTCTTTTTCATAATTTTCTATTAGACTATAATTCGAAATTTATGGAAATTATAAGAAAAGTACAAGGAAGTCCCATATACACGTTAACACAAATTAGCAATTGTTCACATTTTGCTTGCTCTCTATTTGCTTGCTCTCTCTCTCTCTATTCCTTCCTTCCTGTCCACAACACAAACACGTTTGTATGCATGCACATGTACATACACACACATATGCAAATTGACACACACTCAAACACAGATGGCTCTGGCTTTGTATAATTTTATTAAGAATGAATTTCAGTTACCTGGTTTTAGTTAAATTTCAGTCAACCAACAAAGCAGTTCAGATTTCAGTTGCTGTGGGATATTAACTTCGAGTAATTGCACAAGTATAAGCTTTGCTGCTAGCTCCTTAGTCCATAAGTCACCTTGTAAATAACAGGAGCATATCATGGTCAGTGACCAACTGTATCACTTCTTTCAAAGTCTTTCACTGATTTTTTACAGTGTATCCATTATTCATTTCATGCACAGATACAAAAGTGTGTGGGGTTGTGTCAGTTTTTTGTTTCCCAGTGATAAAACCATGTGACATTTTATACAACTGAATTATTGAAAGAAGGAATGGACCAACAAATCTGGAAGTATAGCAAATAATGAAGAATGATAATGCTAGCATGAAACTCCAATTGAACAAAAATGAAGAAACAGAAGAAACAACAGATAACCATAGAAATTAGAAGAAATAGATGACCAAGATTCAAGATACGCAGCCACAGGAATTTAGTGAAGACAAATTTATCAACATAAATGAGACCAGTGGTTGTGACAGGAAGGGTGATGATGTCCCAGACTGACACTGGCAAAAAAAGTCACATTAAAAAAAAAACTCTTGGCCGGGCGTGGTGGCTTACGCAGGGAATCTCAGCACGTTGGGAGACCAAGGCAGGCGGATCACGAGGTCAGGAGTTCGAGACCAGCCTGGCCAACATGGTGAAACCCTGTCTCTACTAAAAATACAAAAATTAGCTGGGCATGGTGGCGGGCGCCTCTCATCCCAGCTACTCGGGAGGCTGAGGAAGGAGAATCGTTTGAACCTGGGAGGCAGAGGTTGCAGTGAGCCAAGATGGGGCCATCGCACTCCTACCTGGGCAACAGGGTGAGACTCTGTCTCAAAAAAAAAAAAATCTCTCAAAGATGCTTCATGATATTGAAAATGCAAGGGATAATATGTTAGAAGTAAATTCAAATTTAGGAAGTAGAATAATAATTCACTAAGTTATAAAAATGGTGCTCACTTATATGTAAATTTCACATTAAGAAAAGATGAGCACTGTTCAAATTACTCTTGATAAGTTTTATACAAATGAATAAAATAAATTAATTGTATGTATTGCTAATATTTAAAATCATGGTGTGTAACATAAATATACATTTTACTACTTTTAATTTTTGTATACATTTATAAGTAAGAATAAGATAGTTTTGATGTTTTATACACATGAATAAAATAAATTAATTGTATGTATTGCTATAAATTATGGTGTATAACATAAATATGCATTTTACTGTTTTTAATTTTTCTATGCATTTATAAGTAAGAATAAGATAGTTTTTAATGTTCAATCAATAATGCTTAAAGATCCCAGAATATTAATTTTTCTTATTGAGATTTAAGATTGCTTTGTATGGTTTTAGTTTGCACTGTTATGTTTACAGTCTGGTACTAACATCCTAAGGGAAGATTGCCATTTGAGAATAAGTTAGAAACATCATCATTTGTCCCTAATTACTTGCATTTGTTATTAACCAAATAAGGACATTAATCCAAATGTTCAATGCATGAATCACAGTACAGTAAAAAACTCAGAAAACATATCACTGATACAATCTTATTATCTAATCTGCAGTACATTTTAAATATAACTGTTTCAGAGTAAATTACAGAGCTATACTTTTTTTTTTTCAGTCCAGGATCCAGCCTCAAATAATGCATTGGATTTGTGTATTGACAATTTCCTTTAATCTGGGACACTTTCTTGGCCTTTATCTTTTCTGAGCTAGGCAGTTATTTTATAAAATATTTCTCAACTTTGGTGTTTCTCATATTTCTTTATGCTTAAATTTAGGTTATACATGCTTTGGCAAACATAAAATTGGGTTTCTTAGTGCATCATTGAAAGAATGTGATTTTGTTTATCCTATTATAGATAATGCTAACATTAGTCATGTGATTAAAGTTGTATTCTCAATGTTTTCCCATTGTAGTAAAATTATTTGCCCCTTTATAATTGATAACTAATATCAAGGAATCTATTTTGAAACTATGAAAATATGCTTTCTCATCTCACCTTTCACCCACTGGTTTTTGCACTTACTGATTTTACAATTAGTATTCTACCTTAATAAAGGGTTTTGAGTATTTATTTTCTACAGATTGAACATCTCCTGTCTGAAATGATTGATATCAGAAGTGTTTTGGATTTCATTTTTTTTTATTTTGGAATATTTGAATATATATGTGTGTGTGTGTGTGTGTGTGTATATATATATATATATATATATATATGAGATATCTTGGGGACGGAACCCAAGTCTAAACAAAAAAGTTGTTTATGTTTTATATGCACTTTACATGCATAGCCTGAATGTAGCGTTTTACAATGTCTTAAATAATTTTGTGTATGAAACAAAGTTTAGATTGTGTTTGGACTGCGAGTGGTCCCATGTGGCTAAGTGTGGAATATTCCACTTGTGGCACCATGTCAGCATTCAAAAGCTTTGGATTTTGAAATGTTTTGGATTTCAGGTTTTTGGGATAAGGAAGCTCAACCTGCAGTGAAAAAGTTATTTCAGGCTCATTTTGAGCTTTCCTTGTCTTAGCCGTGAATTGGAGAAATTATTTATGTTTTCTGATCATAAGTTTTTTATTAGTAAGTGCTTTACAAATATTCAGCATTTGTTTTGTCTACCATATTTATTTTCTTAGTAGTGGTTTTGATAAATTTTAACCAAAATAAGTTAATTTAAAAGAGTTAGACTGGGCACCATGGCTCACGCCTGTAATCCCAGCACTTTGGGAGGCCAAGGTGGGTGGATCACCTGAGGTCAGTAGCTGGAGACTAGCCTGGCCAACAGGTGAAACTCTGTCTCTACTAAAAATACAAAAATTAGCCATGTGTAGTCGTTCACATCTGTAGTTGCAGCTACTTGGGAGGCTGAGGCAGGAGAATTGCTTGAACCCAGGAGGTGGAGGTTGCAGTGAGCAGAGATTAAGCCACTGCACTCCAGCTTGGGTGACAGAGGGAGACCTTGTCTCAAAATAAATTTTTTAAAAAATTAATAGACTTTAATTTTTAGAGCAGTTTTTGGTTCAAAGCAAAATGGAGGAGAAATTAGTTTCCACATATCTCCTTTCCACCCACACACAAACCCTCCCCTACCATCAATACCCACATCGTTGTGGTACATTTATTACATTTCACAAACCAACACTGACACCTCATTATCAACCAGTCTATAGTTTATTACATTAAGATTCATTCTTTTGTTATATATTCTAGAGGTTTTGACACATTTATAAGGACATGTATCAACCATTAGAATATCATACACAATTGGCCAGGCACAGTGGCTCATACTTGTAATCCCAGCACTTTCAGAGGCCAACGTGAGCAGATAGCTTGATCTCAGGAGTTTGAGACCAGCCTGGGTAACACGGTGAAACCGCTTCTTTACCAAAAATACAAAAATTAGCTAGGTATGGTGGTGCAAATCTGTGGTCCCACCTACTTGGGAGGTTGAGGTGGGAGGATCGCCTGAGCCTGGGGGACAAATGTTGCAGTGAGCCGAGATCATGCCACTGCACTCCAGCCTGGGCAACAGAGTGAGACCTTGTTGCCAAAAAAAAAAAAATAAATACATGAATAAAAAATAAAATTACACACAATAGTTTCACTGCTCTAAAAATTTTCTGTGTGCCACCTATTCACCTATACATCTCTCCCTCAGCCCCCAACTTTTATTGTCTCCATAGTTTTGCCTTTTCCAGAATGTCATATAGTGGAATCATGCAGTATGTAGTCAAATTGGTTCCTTTCACTTAACAATAGGCATTTAAGATCCCCCTATGTATTTTAGTGTTTTGATAGTTAATTTATTTACACTAAATAATATTTAATTGTATGAGTATAGCACAGTGTATTTATCCATTCACCTATTGAAGGACATCTTGATGCATTCCAAGTTTGGGCAATTATGAATAAACTCTCTGTAAGGCTAAATACAATCTTGTTCATAGGTAAATACCAAAGACCATGTTTGGTGGCCTGTGTGGTAAGAGTATGTTTAGTTTCATAAGAAATGGCCAAATTAGGCCAGGTGCAATAGCTCATGCCTGTAATCCCAGCACTTTGGGAGTCTGAGGTGGGCAGATCACAAGGTCAGGAGTTCGAGACCAGGCTGACGTCTCTACTAAAAATACAAAAATTAGCTGGGCATGGTGGTGCATGCCTGTAATCCCAGCTACTTTGGAGGCTGAGGCAGAAGAATCACTTGAACCCCAGGGGCGGAGGTTGCAGTGAGCCGAGATTGCATCCCTGAACTCCAGCCTGGGCGACAGAGCAAGACTCCATCTCAAAAAAAAAAGAAAAAAGAAAAAAAATGGCCAAATTGTCTTACAAAGTGATTGCACCATTTTGCATTACCACCAACAATGAATGAGAGTCCATATAATAAGTCTTTATTTTAATGAGATGCAATTTATAATTTTGATGTTGTCGCTTTTTGGATTTAGATTCAGAAATTGTTGCCTACACAGAGGCATCGAATACATTTTCTGTATTCTTTCAGAAGCTGTAACATTTTAAATTCTAATTTTAAGTTTATAATACTTTTCTAATATGTGTGTGTGGTGTAAAAAGTTGGTCAGTTTTTTCCATATAGAAATCAAGTTGTTCCAGCAAAATTAAAAATTATTTGATTTGTCTATGGAATTACTTTGGCATCTTTGTCAAAATCAATTGCCCCTGTGTTTGCAGTTTTACTTCTGAAACTCTTCCACTAACAATTTTTAGTTATAATAAAAACATAGCACTCTCTTGACTATGTAGTTTTGCAGAATCTTGATGTAAAGTCAACTTTAGATCAACTTTAAATGCTTCAATTTAATTTTTCAAGCTTTTTTCAGCAGTTCCAGAACTTTTGCTTTTTAAATATAAATATAAGAAGATCATTACTTTCTATAAGAAAGATATTCTATGTTAAAAAGCAATTTTTATTTGGGAGACAATGAATAACTTAAATGCATTGAGGGTTCAATTCATACACATGTGATTATTCTCCATTTATTTAGGTCTTCATTATTTTCTCTCAGCAATGTTGCACAGTTTTAACAATCTTGGAAATATTTTGTGAAATGTACTCCTATTTATCTTATGCTCTCTGATACTATTGTAAGATATTTTTTAACATCTTTGTTTAAATTGTTTAAAGCTTGCATAAAAAATGAAATACATTTTTGTGTATTGACTTGACTTTTTACCTGGAACATTTCTAGATTCTCTAATTACTTTTTATATTCATCTTGTAGATTCTTTAGGATTTTCTATGTAAACAGTCATTTCATCTGTGAAAATAAAGTTTTACTGCTTCCCTTCTGATATAGATGCCTTTAATTTATTTTTCTTGCTTTAATGCAATGGATAATTTCTCTAGCGCATGGTTGAAAAAAATTCTAGGTGCCTATGTGCCTGACTTCATCACTACATTAGGGGAAATATTTAATATTTCAGGATAATACTGTAGGTTTTTAATAGATACACTTTATTGAATTGAAGACGTTGATTTTCTTTCTAATTTGCTCAGGATATTCATCATGAATGGGTTTTAAATTATGACAAATTTATCTTTATTTATTGAGATAATTATATTATTTTTAAATTTTATTACTATAGTGAAATACTTTAAGAAATTTGTGCATGTTAACATAAATTAATGTTCCTGGGGAAAATAGCTTTTAGATGTAACATATTATCCTGTTTAAATATTACTGAATTGGATTCATTTATAATTTGTTAAGCATTTGTATTTATGAAAGCCATTGATCTATAAATAATTTACAATACTTTTATTCAGTGTTTGTTTCAAGTTAATGCTGATTTCATGGAAAAAGTGTGTATGTGTTCCTTCCTTTCCTGGAGCAAAGTTCCCCCCTTTCCGTAGACTTTATTTATACATATATATCTACTTAGTAACCCACCAGGAAAACTATTTGTATTTGTAGATCTTTGTGGAAATTTTTCAAATAATAAATTTAGTTTTTTTTTAAGCAAATGTAGGGTTTTGAAGTTTTCCGTTTTGAGAAATGCACATTAAAAATCACAGAAATATAATCTTACACAAATCAGAATGGCTTTTATTAAGAAGTCAAAAACCAACAGATGTTAGCTAGATGTGGAGAAAAGAGAACACTTAGATATGATTGGTAGGAATGTAAATTAGTTCAAACCTTACTGAAAACCGAATGGAAAAATTTCAAAAAATTAAAAATAGAACTACCATTTGACCCACTAACCGCCTACTGGGAATCTACCCAGTGGAAAAGAAAGGATTATATAAACAAGACACCTCCACTTAGATGTTTATTGCAGCACTATTCACAATAGCAAAGTCATGGAACCAACCTAAGTTTTCACCAGTGGTTTCTTGGGTAAATAAAATGTGGTATATATATACCATGGAATACTATGCAGCCACAGTGAAAAAAAAATCATGTTGTTAGTAGCAACATGAATGGAGCTGGAGGTTATTATCCTAGGTCAACTAACTCAGAAGCATATCAAATATACTTTTTCTCACTTATAAGTGAGAGCTAAACAGTGGATACACATGGACATAAAGATGCAGATAATAGACATTGGTAACTTCCCAAAATTCCTATTGGATACAATATTTATATTTGGATGATGACTGGACAGGAAGCCCAATACCCACCATTACACAAGTAATATTCGTGTAAATGTTTCCACATGTACCCCCTGAATCTAAAATTTTAAAAAATAAAAAATAAAATTTTCTGCTTTATCTTAAATTTACATTCTTTAAGTTGTAAAATTTGTTTGTCATAGAGTGGTCCATACATTCCTGTTTCTCTCACATCTCCTTTCTTTGCCTTTCTCAAAGTTGTTAGAAGTTTTTCAGTATTATTGATCTTTTCAAGGTACTACCTTTTTTCCTTGCTACTTTTGTCTCATTTCTCTATTACCTACTTCACTGATTTGTGCTCAAGCTTTGTTATGACATTTTTGCTACTTAAGTAGATTCAAATTGTTCATCTATTTCTAGTTTTTTATTTACCTTCTGAATTATACATTCTTTCAAGATAATCTTAGATTCACATGAAATTTGAAAAAAAATGCAAAGAGATTCTGTATAATCTTTATCCAGTTTCCTCTAATTGAACATGCTGGACAATAATATAATACCACATCTAGAATATTGATATGATAAAGGTAAGATACAGAATAGATCTGTCATCACAAGGAACCGTATATTGCCCATTTTTAGCTACATTCAATTATCACTTCACTTTAGTACAAAATAACTAAAGTTATGATAGTGATAAGGTTAAGCAATTTTTATGTTTATGTTTTTGGATATTTGTAAATCCTTGATAATTTTATTTAAAGACTTTTCCATGTTTTCATTGGAAATTTTTGTCTTTTCATTACTGAGTTATAGGAGATCTTTTTATATGTTTTATGGATATTTTCTCCCAATCTGTGACATTTCTATTCATTTTCTTGATGACATTTCTATTCACTTTCTTGATGATATATCTGCTATTTTTGAATAGCAGATATTTTAAATCAAGAAGTCAACTTTATCATATCTGTTTGGAAATTTATGTATATTGTTTTCTTTTACTTATCTAAGAAAACTATAGAAAAAATTTTTTTTATTTAAGTCACAAGGTATTATTTCATGTTTTATTTTAAAGATACTCGGTTTTTGCTCACAAAATAATAAATATTTTGTAAACATATTATGAGTAAAAAAATGGACAAAAAGCATTCATACATTTAATGTGTAAGTGAATCAATAAACCATTAATTAGAAAATGTACTCCAGACAGTATACTTACTTATAAACAACTTTTAGTTAAAAGTCAAATTAGAAATGCACTTTCTGGCAACAAAACCTTAAAAAACTGGCAATATTATTTTCAGTGAAAAGATAAATGTGAAGGAGTTAAGGTTAAAAAAAATAGTTTGTTTTTTAACCAATAATATTCCTCCCTAATTACAGCTTTTATCAAATTGTTGTAGATGCTATTTCTGGGACCCTTCTAAGTTATCAATAGAGAGTACAAAGTACGGCTATATTGAATTTATTTTATCTAAATACTATTTACAACCAATTTAAAGTGAAAAAACTAAGAAATTAGAATGTTTCCTTCAAATTTATTATCAACATACATTTCCATGTATTCCTGTAAGACATTGAAATAAAAGTTTATGCATGTTAGAAACAATGGAAGTCAAACCATTTATTTATGAATGAATGTTTTTTGTATAGGGCATGTATTTATAAATTACATAAACTAAGTAAACCATGACTTTTTATACCTAACAGGTTATAGCTGAGTTGTACACAATTGTTTCCAGAAATTTTTTTCATTTCTGAGGATGTTGTAAGCCACAAGAAAAATTTGCCACACAAAATAGCTTTTCTCAAACATCTGCTGCCAAGAAACTTTGTTTGGAGCTTGTGATGATGGATGAATTTTTGACAGGTAATTGCAATTCAGATCAGATGCAGACAGATTTAGTACCTAAAAGATTCTAGTTTATTAAAATCACCATTGATTTATTTAGCATCCCTTCTTCCCTTCAAACTGTCTTGCATTTTAACACTTTGGGAATTAATAATTCATCTATGATACATATAATTTATACAGCGGTTTGAAATACATTAGATATTTCTTGGTTCCTCTAAAAATCTTAAATAGGGAAGCATTTGCAAAATTAAGTAGTGCTCATGTATTATTATGAAAACAAAAAAATGGCTTTTTTACAAGTGTGTTCATCAATGGTTTGTCATTAAACACTTCCAATTTTTATGCAATCTATTATCTAATAATTGATTAATTTTTTGTGAACTCATAGGCATTAGACCTCTTTTTCTTTTTTCTTTTTTTTAGATGGAGTCTCGCTTGTTGCCCAGGCTGGAGTGCAGTGGCACGATCTCAGCTCACTGCAACCTCTGCATCCCAGGTTCAAGCGATTATCCTATCTCAACCTCCGGAGTAGCTGGGACTACAGGCATGTGCCACCACGCCCAGCTAATTTTTGTATTTTTAGTAGAGACAGGGTTTCACGTTGTTGGCCAGGATGGTCTTAATCTCTTGACCTCGTGATACGCCCACCTCAGCCTCCCAAAGTGCTGGGATTACAAGCGTGAGCTTCCGCACCTGGCCTAAGCCTCTTTTTCTTAGGTGGTTTTCTGGAAGATTGACTCTGAAATGGGTAATTGCATTTAGGAAAAATGTATTGGGGAGTGCCTTGAGGAATAATCTTTGAAGGAAGAGAAGGAAGTCAGATTGGGAGCGGGGAAGAGTTGAATTCAGTTACAACAAAAGTTTCAACAGAGCTTTAATGGCTTTAGGTGCGGGGGTTAGATCTTTATACCATTCTTCTTACCCCCACGTAGATGAGACATTAAACATGGCCTCTCTTCAGAGGGAGGAGGACATGACCTTGTGTGAAGCAACTGTGCAGAGTGACACTCAACTGAGACAGTCAGATACATCCTTAGTCTGCCCATGAAGCTGATGAAAGTAGTCTCAGTCTTGAAGGAAAAGTTGGTAGCAGTACATAGTGTATGTGTATGTGTCTCTACGGCCAATCCTTGACTTACAATGGTTTGATTTACAATTTTTTGCTTTACCATGGTACCCACACAACCATTCTGTTTTTCCATTTACATTACAGTATTCAATACATTACATGAGATATTTAACACTTTATTATAAAAAAGGCTTTGTGTTAGGTAATTCTGCCCAACTGCAGACTAATGTAAATGTTCTAAACACATTAATGGTAGTCTATGTTAAGCTATGATGTTTGGTAGGTTCGGTGTACTAAATGCATTTTCAACTTTTTAATGGTTTATCATTATTATTATTATTGAGATAGGGGCGTCCTCACAATGTTACCTAGGGTAGTTTCAAACTACTCAAAACCTAGGGGCACAAGGGATGCTCTCTTCTCAGCCTGTCAAGCAACTGGGACTACAGGTGCATGCACCACTGTGCTAACCTTTTAAAATTGATTTATAAAAGTTAATATTATTTATATATGTCTCAAGTATAAAAATATATACCATTTGAAATGATAGTAAAATGGACAGATCTGCACCTATCATCACTGAGACATTTGATGCCATCTCTGTGGTACACTCCAAGCACATGACCTTCATTTTTCTTCAGAGAAAATTTCCTGTATTTTACTTATTAGCCATCAAATTAGCTGGACATGGTGGTGGGCACCTGTAGTCCCAGTTACTTAGGAGGCTGAGGCAGGAGAATGGCATGAACCCGGGAGGTGGAGCTTGCAGCGAGCGAAGCTTGTGCCACTGAACTCCAGCCTGAGTGACAGAGCAAGACTCCGACTCAAAGAAAAAAAAAAAAAAAACAGTTGCCTGTGATACCAAGATTTTTTTTACAGACAGTAACAGACCTGGTCTTTGGTCATATGACTAAGTTATAATAAATGAGATGTCAGCAGAAATATTAGGTGATACTTTTAGATAGATTTCTTAAGCTTGCATAGCTGAAATGTAGACATGATGACTAGAGCTTCGGTCTCCTTGGACTATGAGTCAAGGTATCATGAATTCAGTGGAAAGCATATGCTACATTAAGTAAACCAGTTAGTAAAAAAAGCCCAAGGGCCTAACACTTCAGATTGCCAACCTTATACTATCTACATCTAACTACATTGAGACACTTTTTATGAGATATACAAATTTCTATCTAGTTTTCTCGTGTGTGTGTGTGTGTGTGTGTGTGTGTAAGGCTTACTTATGACAGATCCTCATTCTTATTACTAGTTTATATTGTTCAAGTCATTTCTATCCATAGTTGATTTTTATATTCTGATTATTCTCTATCATACTGCAAGTTCATATTGTTAAAAATAAAGTATCATCTATGTTAGAAACTTAGAACTCTCTAATTCTATTATAAATTGGGCTATCTCTATTTAGTGTTTTTGTTCTCACAATTTTGTTTCAGGAAGTTCATGCAGTACAATTCGTTCCACTGCAATATCTCCTAGTGGAAAACCTTTGAGTTACTTTTTATGCATGCACATTTAAATGCTGTTGTATCACATCAATAACTACTTCCTCTTAAGGAGAGCTATTAAGAGAATAGCTTTCACTTAATTTTAATACTGGTGGCTCATTATCACATCGTGGTGGCCTTTTATTTGATCCTTTTCTCACTTTATTGCTTTATGATATTTTCCATGAATGTCTCACTTGTAATACATCTTTACATGTGACAGTTTTCTCAAATTTTATTCTACCTGCTGATGGAAGTTTATTAAAGAAGTATGCTGATTTTCTGAGCTCTATGAATTGTGCATTATTTTTTTCTTATGTCATAAGCCTTACATCTTTTTCCTTATTCATCTTCTAATGTTGTTGATCTATATAGACTGTTTTAATTGAAATTGTTTGAGGAATGTTCTTGGCTTTAAGTTTCTGTGGAAACATGTGAGAGCATCTCATTCTCAGAAGAGCTCAGCTGTGAGAGGACAGGTTGATGTCCAGTGCTCCCAATCTAAACACAACACCTGGAAGCCTTTCAACTTTCCTTTAATGAGTTGAAAATGTTTCCTCTCACTTTTTGGCATTATGACATTCTGAGTCAGTGAATTATCAAAAATTCCCAATATGCACATAAATGACAAATGTGCTTTCTCTTCTACAGTGCTTCTTTCTTTTTTACAGCCGTTTTTAATGCATGAGACAGTGCTTCTTTATCTAAAAAGTAATAATTTTATTAAACTCCTTATTGTACCTCTTCCTAATTGTATTCTCTAGTCCCAATACCACTTCAGAATCACAACCACCCTCAATGTATTGCTTATCACCTGCAAGTCATTTTCTTTTAAAAATATGTACATATTTACAGATTACATGGTTTTGTTTTTGCATATTTTTAACTTGTGTACATACATGTTTTATATTCTATAGCTGACTTTCTACCACATTTTTTTTTTTTGCCTCACATAAACCTTTTGAGGTTAATCAAGGTTAATACATGTAATATAATTTTAATTATTTCAAATACTATATATACAGTGTGCTCTTGCATAAATATATCACTGTTTAATTCTCATACTTACAATGAATATTTATCATAATGGTTAAAATGATGGGTTCTACAGCCATGGTGACTGGGTTTATGGTTCAACTCTACTTTCATTTGATGAACAGCTTTTGGCAGTATTCTGAGTGACTTTGTGCCTTAGTTCCCTTTTGGTAAATGTGGGACACTGTCTAAAACTACCACAAAGTGTTGTTGTGAAGACTTATTAACACACGCAATGCCCTGAGAAGAGCACTAAGAAATATATAAGTTGGACTATTTTTACTTTTGTTGACTGTGCCTCTGAGGTCCTATCTAAAAAAAATCATTATGCAGTCCAATTTGATGAAGCATTTCCTTTTTGTTTTCTTCTAGTAATTTCATAGTTGTGAGTCTTACATTTAAGTCTTACATGTAAGTTGTGAGTCTTACATTTAAGTCTTTAATCCATTGGAGTTTATTTTTGTATACAATGAATGATACACCACTTATTGAAAAGACTGTCCTTTCCCCAGAGTATGTTCTTGGTGTGTTTATCAAAAATTGGGGGGCTGTAAATGCATAGATTTATTTCTGTATTTCCTACTTGGTTCCTTTGATGTATATGCCTGTTTTGCTTTTTATTTCACCAGGACCATGCTATTTTAGTTACTATACCCAGTTTTATGCTATTTTGGTTACTATATTTTGGAGTCAGGGAGTGTCATGATACCTCCCGCTTTGTTATTTTTGCTCAGGATTCGTTTGTTTATCTAGGGTCTTTTGCCTTTCCACATACATTTAAAGATTTTTTTCCTTTGTGGGAATAATGTCATTGGTATTTTGATAGGGATTACATTGAATCTGTAGATTGCTTTGTGTAGTATGGACATTTTAACAACATTAACAACATTAATTCTTCCAATCCTTGAACACAAGATGTCTTTTCATTTATTTGTGCTCTCTTCAATTTCTTTTGTCAATGCTTTACAGTCTTCATTGCATAGGTCTTTTCATGTCCTTAGTGAAATCTACTTCTAGGTCTTTTTTTTTTCATAGCTATTGTGAATAAAATTGCTTTCTTGACTTATTTTACAGATAGTTTGCTATCAACATATAGAAATGCTATTGATTTTTGTATCTTGATTTTGTATCCTGAAACTTTACTAAGTTTATTAATTACTTCTACCAAATTTCTGGTGGAGTCTTTAATGTTTTCCTATACATAATCATGTCGTTGGCAAACAAGAACAATTCGATTCCCTCTTTTCCAATTTGGGTGTCCTTTTTTTTTTTTTTTTTTCCCTCGCCTATTATTGCTCTGGCTAGAACTTCCAGTACTATGTTAAATACAAGTTGGCATCCTTGTCTTCTTTCAGATCTCAGAAGATAAGATTTCAACTTTTACCTATTTGGTATGATGTTAGTTGTAGGTTTGTCATATATGGCCTTTATTGTATGAAAGTATGTTTCTTTTAGATTCAGTTCGTTTAAGGTTTTTACCATGAAGGGATTTAAAATTGTATTGAATGTTTTTTCAGCATCTACTGAAATGATCATATAATTTTTTGTGAGTAATTTTGTTAATATATCACATTTATTGATTTGCATATGGTGAACAATTCTTGCATCTGTGGAATAAATCTCATGTGATCATGGTGTATAACCTTTTTAATGTGTTGTTGAATTTTGTTTGCTAGTGTTTTGTTAAGGATTTGTTCATCAGGAATATTGGCCTGAATGTTTCTTTTTTTTCTGTACAGCAAAGAAAATAATAAAAAAGTGAAGAGAAAACCTATAAAATAAGAGAAAGTATATGCAAATTACGCATCTGAAAAAGTGTTCATATTTATACTACATAAGAAACTCAAACAAATCAATATAAAAAACATAAATAATTCAAATTAAAAATGACTGAAAGACCTAAGTAGACATTTCTCAAAAGGAGTCATACAAATGGCCAGCAGAAATATTCAACATTTGAAACACATGTTCAACATATGAAAAAATGTTCAACATCCCTAATCATTATAGAAATGCAAATTAAAACCACAGTGAGGCATTACCCGCTCCAGGTTAGAAGGGATATTGTCAAAAATTAAAAAATAATAAATGCTGTCAAGGATGCAGAGAAAAGGAAACTCTTACATACTGCTGGTGGGAATAAAAATTAGTACAGCCACTATGGAAAATAGTATGGAGGTTCCTCAAAAAATTAAAAATAGACTTCCCACATTATTCAGCAATTTCATTACTGGGTATACATCCAAAGCAAAGCAAATTGCAATTTCAAAGAGATGTCTGAATACTCATGTTTATTGCAGTGCTATTTACAATAGCCAACATACAGTGTCAACCTAAATACCCATCTAACAATGAATAGATCAAAAAATGTGACATATGTTTATGTGTGTATGTGTATTTGTTATATATGTAAATGTATATATGTGTATATATATGTGTGTATACATGTGTGTGTGTATGTATACACATAATGGAATACACACATACATAATGGAATACTATTCAATCATAAGACAGAATAAAATCCTGTCATTTGCAGCAACATGGATGAACCTAGAGGACGTTATGCTAAGTGGGATAAGCCAAGCACAGAAAGACAAATACAGCATGATCTGACTCATATGTGGAACCTCAGAAAGTCAATTTCATAGAAGTAGTGAAATTGGAGTGGTTACCAGAAGCTGGGGAGTGTAGTGGGGATAGGGGGATTGGAAGAGGTTGGTCATTGGCTACAAAGCTACTGTTTGACAGGAAGAATAACTTTTTTTGTTCTATTATAAAGTAGGGTGACTATAGCAAATAATGGTTTATTATTATATATTTCAAGAAGATGGCTAGAAAAGAATTTGAATGTTGTCACAACAAGAAAATGTTAAATGTTTAAAATAGATGTTGCAATTACCCTGATTTGATTTTTATACTATGTATACATGCATTAAAACATCACATTGTACCCCACAAATATGGATAATTTTTATGCATCAATTATAAACTTAAAACATTCTATTAAAAACATATATATAGGGCCTAAATTTTTGCTATTATAAAATAATACTATGTATATTCTTATATATGTATCTTTGTGAAATTCCCTAGGGACTGACTATACATGTTATTTCTTAATGTAGACATAGACACTAATCATTTATCTCTTCTCCTGGCAATGAATATGATTCTTTTGCAGGTCGTAACTGTTATAAACAATGGGTAAAGAAAATATGCACAGGTCTTTTTCTCTTGTACATATGTGATAAGGTTGGTACAACTTATAGATTTGTTAATAGTGCACAGTTGTTGTCTACAGTGGGTATATGAGAATTCTCATTTCTGCATATCACTATCAAAGTGTAATTTGCTCACACTTTAACTTTTGCCAATCTAATGGTTATAATGATATGTTGAGTACATTTGCATATTTATTCACATAATTCCTAGGAAGAAAAACTTCTTTTATATATATATACATATATATATACACATATATATACATACACATATATATACATATATATACATGTATACATGTATATATATGTATATATATGTGTATGTATATATATATACATGTATATATATGGCCTTCTCTTTTTCTCTTCTGCTAAGTGTCTCAGCATATTAGGCCGATTTTTGTTTTTTTTTATTTATTTTATTTTTTTTTTTTTTGAGACAGAGTCTCGCTCTTTTGCTCAGGCCAGACTGCAGTGTCGCTATCTCGGCTCACTGCAACCTCTGCCTCCCGGCTTCACGCCATTCTCCTGCCTCAGCCTCCCGAGCAGCTGGGATTACAGGCGCCCGCCACCGCTTTTAACCTTTTATTGATCTAATGAGTTTCTTTGTGTTATTTGCACAGGCTTTGGAAATATAATCAGCCGTCTCCGTCAGTGATAGTTATCTTCTACATTCATCTTCTACATTCCCAGATTCAACCTACAGCAGACAGAAATTTTTTTTCCTCTGAACTTTTTACTGGCATCCTGCTCCACAAAGGGTACCCTGCTCCTGCTGACTTAATGTCTCAGAACTTTGATGTCGTTGGTCTCAGACACCACTTTACCATTCACTATCTGGCAGGTGGTGGTCTTTTGGATTGTTTGCATGGAGTTGCTGCTGTCCAGGGCATCACCAAGATTGAAGTCCTCGCCATCTTCCAGTGGGCAGCGGTAGCTGGTGATCTCAGCCTCCAGCTTGAGCTTGATGTTCAGCAGGGCCTCTTACTCCTGGGCCTGACGCTGTCTCTCTGCCTGGGTCTGTGCCAGCTCTGACTCCAGGTGCAGCAGGATCCCGTTGAGCTGCTCCATCTGCAGGGTGTAGCGGGCCTCCAGGTCCCTCAGGCTGTTCTCCAAGCTGGCCTTCAGATTTCTCATGGAGTCCAGGTCAGTCTCCAAGGACTGGACTGTACGTCTCAGCTCCATGAGCATCATCTCAGCAGCTGCAACCTCGACAGACTGCGTGGTGACCACTGTGGTGCTCTCCTCAATCTACTGAGACCAGTACTTGTCCAGGTCCTCTCGGTTCTTCCGAGCCAGCTCATCATATTGGTCCCGGATGTCTGCCATGATCTTGGCGAGGTCCTGAGATTTGGGGGCATCTACCTCCATGGTCAACCCAGAGCTGGCAATCTGGGCTTGTAGACCTTTTACTTCCTCTTCGTGCTTCTTCATGAAGAGCAGCTCCTCCTTGAGAGGCTCGATCTCTGTCTGCAGCTGCAGCTGAGTGACATTTGTGTCATCAGTGACCTTGCGGAGCCCATGTATGTTGCTCTCTACAGACTGGTGCATGGCCAGCTCTGTCTCATACTTGACCCTAAAGTCATCACCAGCAAGATGGGCATTGTCAATCTGCAAAACGATGCGGGGATTGTCCACGGTATTTGCGAAGATCTGAGCCCTCAGGTCTTCGATGGTCTTGAGGTAATGGCTCCAGTCTCTGACCTGCGGTCCCTTGTTCTCCAGGTGCTCCTGGATTTTGCTCTCCAGCTTCCAGTTCACGGTCTCCAGGCTCCTCTCTCTGTCCAGGTAGGAGGCCAGGCAATCGTTCAGGCTTTGCATGGTCTCCTTCTCGTTCTGGACGCCTCCCACTCCTGCCAGACCCCCGGCCATCCCCGCCGTCAGGACCGCCGCCTGGAAGCTGGTGGAGCGGGACACGGAGATCTGGGAACCAGAGCCCCTAGGGTCTGCATAGATGCTGGCCGCTCTGCTGACCGGCGCCTAGCTGGGTGCCTGGACAGAGCCCAGGGACCAGTAGTTGGTGGAGAAGGTGGAGCGAGTGGTGAAGCTCATGCTGTTCCGGGAGGAGAGCGAGAGGACAGGACTCAGGCTTTCCCAACGACCAGAAAATATTTTTTTAATGGATGGTTGTGTCTGTACAGAACATGCACAGACTTCTTTTTTCTCATTATTATTCTCCAAAAGATACAACTATTTTCATAACATCTACATTGTATTAAGTATCATAAGTGATCTAGAGTTGATTTAAAATATACGGGAGAATGTGTGTAGGTTTCATGCAAATACGATGCCATTTTATATCAGGGACTTGAGCATCCATGAATTTTGGTATCTATGGGAGTCCTACAACCAATCCCTCATGGATACCCAGGGTCAGCAAATCCCTTATAGCTCCCCATCTGTAACTACATTTTCATCTGTTCTATTTGTTTATGATGTACAGATCACTATGTGTAATTTTAAATAATATTAAACTTAAATGTATTGTCTATGTAGGTTTGCTGTTTGTGTGTTGCTTAAAAATTTATTTTATATCCTCAAATTAAGAATATAGTTTTTAAATATTTTTATTCAAATAATTTAAAGTTTCATTTTCACATTTTGTAATGAAATAATTAGATTTGTGTGTGTCTGCGTGTATTTGTGTGTGTATGTGTGTGTGTGTTGTAAAATATAGTTTGTTTTATTTTCTTTTTTGGGTAAGAAATTATACCATGATTAACTATATAGTTATCTTTCCACTTTATACATTTTGTGACTATGTTTTTTCAGACTTACAAGTTTATTCATATAATATCTTCTTGATTGCTTGCTTAATCATTCTTGTGGCACTACACAGTAATTCTTCTATTGGTTCTAATAAAATGGTATAAGTACTTTATATTGATATAGCTATGTTTTCTTTTCCAAATTGTTTTTTTCCTGCTGTATGTTTTCCCACCCTGTTAGGGTATTTTGTTGTAATGGAGTTTCCTTGCTCTTTTCATTTCGTCATGTTGATAAGCAATGTCACTTTTCTGTCATTGTCTACAGTTTTTTACTAGATTGGTGATTACTTGTTGTCATATCAAATTTATGTTAATTTGATATGACAAGTTAATTTGATATGTTATATTCCTTGTATGTGGATATAATTTCTAAATTATAAGAGTCTGCCTCCAGTGGTCTTAGGTGAGAGACCGTGAAGTGTTTCTGGGTAGGGCGTAACTATAATTTATCTTCAGAGAATTAGTACGTGCATTCCACTAAGAATGAAAGAATAGTTATTTAAAAAGGACTCTACACATCTTGGTGCTCCAAGTTCACACTCACTGCTTTGTGCTAGAAGTGAATACAGCAACAGTCTGCACCTTGGTGGCAGAGGAACAGACAGAGATGAGACTGTCAGATTTTGATCATTTGATCTAAAAATGCCCCAGTAATTAGTCACTGCAGTTGGCTGTTTCTGACCTACATTAAAATTACTAAAATCCATAATTAACTGTTAAGACCTATTATGAAATGAGCTCTAGTAAGAGAAGGATCATGTTTGTCTTGTTCGAAATTGTATCTCCATAATTGTGCACATTGTAAGAAGTAATCTTAGGGTGCAGTTGCTGGAAACACATCTTGAGAAGAATTTATGTGCAAGTAGGAAACCAGTAAGGTAGTGAAGAAAGCAGGACAGGCAAGGGGACAAAGCCCAGCATGGGGGTGATTTTAATCAAAGTTCCATGAAGTGTAGCTTCAGCCTGACTTTGCAGGGGAAGTCTGGAAGGTAAATTAAGACCCATATGTGTGTTTTTTTTTTTCATACTCAAGCTAAGGAAATAAGCTTTTATACTGCTACAGTAGTCAGTCGTCTATTGAAGACCACACCTGGAAGATGTAAATTCTTAGGAAGCTGCAACAGTTTATGCATGAGGAAAAAGCAGCTTGAAGACAGGCCGCAGGAGAGTCACAGGTGCTCACAATTAGAAGCAGAGCAATAGTAGAGCAGAGATGAAGTGACCTGGGTTAAGAATTTCATATATCTGCTTCAGGAATCCCTTGCACTGGTGACGTCCCATTATGTTTTACATTAAGTGTATTCCAACCAAACTCTGTTTTTTTTCCGAGGTGGTGATTCATCATAATTCAGTGGAAAAATATAAAAGCAGAGGTTAATGAGATACACAAAAGCCCTGCTGTTATGGTTGGTGCCAAGGCTATATTTATTTTTTTCCTCCCTCTTTCACCCATTTTAGATTTCCCTTGCCTCAACCAGCACTTCTTGTCTAAGTGGCTTACTTTGTTGCATAATATACTGGTTTTCATAATTTTATTTAGGGCATGGTTGTTGTAATTTCCTATTTAGAGCTGAAATGGGCCATGGCATACTATGATTGGCCCTAATGCACAAACCAGTTGCCCCCATTCATCTTCATGATGAACAAGGTTAATTACCCTATGAGCAAGATAGTTCCTCTTTCCCTACTTCCTTCCTGACATGAGAAAAACAAAATAACCTAGCAGCAGAGGAGCTTAAGTTTAGTGAAATGCCTACTATAACTTGAGTGGAAACTTCCCTCACTGGAATGAAGATCTCTGGACTGATAGAACTTTGAGTTTCAAAAGTAGAAAGCACAAACACTGGGAGTGACGGTGAGTGGCCCACTGCTGTGTTCACTCACCAGTAATTTCTGGATACATGCGTTTTTCCCTTTGAGCACAAAATATCATTCGTCTATAATACACACTGCATCCTAATGGACAGTACACCAACTTCACAGGATTTCTCACCAAATTGACACTTTATATGAGGTATTACGGGACTAGTTTCCTGGACTGCAAGATTAGCAAATTTTAGATAGTTCAGTAAGTGGTATAACCAGTACTTCCCATTGTCACGTACCAATTTTCACATCTTTTTGGCCACACAGTGAATCACTTGGTCAGAGACAATGTCATGTGCAATTTAATGTCAGTAAATCAGAGACTGTGGGCATTTAGATACCAGTGCTAGTAAAGACACTGTGAGCCAGAAAAACAAATCTACATTGCAAATATGCTTGAGTCCCAGTAAAGACTATTTACAATATGTTTTAGGTGGATGGTGTTTGACATAATCCAATTGTCACATATGTCCCAGTTGATTATTTTGAGGGATAGTATTATAGCACGGCTCTATACTATCTCTCCTCCTGATACATCTAACACTCAGGAACAGCAGTCACTTAATACTCTCTCATAGATCCATGTTCATGCCTCTTCTTATCCTCCATATCTGGTTGTCAAAAATTTATAAATCTCACTCCTTCCAGACCCCTGAACAACCAGCCACATTTGTCATAGTGTAGGAGTCCATATGTAACCAAACCTTAGGCAGGCAGAACTTGACCCACATGAAGTGGATGACCATTGCTGCACACTGGGGGGATTTACCCTGACAGCATTCCTCTCAGGGCACAAATGTGTGAATGTTTAGTGTACTAGAAGTTGGTTTTCAGCTTGTGCAAACACATTGAATTGATCCATACATGAACACATGAATACATGATGCATGAATCAGACTTGGTTTATTTTTTTCTCCTCTAACAGTTGACCCATAAAGTATCTTCTATGAGGTTATAGGTGTCAGTTGAGGGAAAGACAGCTTTGAGTAGGTGCAGCAGCATGTGCTGATAGTCCCAGCTGTTTGGGAGGCTGAGGTGGGAGGATTCTTTGAGACTAGGAGTTTGAGGCTGTACTGTGCTGTGATGATTGCACCTGTGAATAGCCACGGCACTCCAGCTTTGGCGACATCGTGAGACCATATCTCTAAAGCCAAAAAAACAAAAACAAAAAACGAAGACTACCTTATCTACCACAGATTCATCTAGCACCACAAGATCTGTGTAGTAGTTAAGCTATATTTGTAAGCATCTATATGACAGTCAGGACTTTCCAGAAAGCCATCTATTCCTCTTCTTTCCATTCAAAAATGGCATCCTTCTACATAATCTGTGAAGTGCATCAAGCTATTAGTCTCAAGTGCAATAATACATCTTGCATCCAAAACCAAAGAGGCCTGACAATCACTATTATTCTTTAGAAAGTGCAAAGTACAGTCACTTGGCCTTGCCTTAGAAGGGCTGTCCAGTGGGTTAGTCCTGGTCTTATGTGAAGCAGAATTCAAAGCGAAATTAGAAGAGTAAGAGAATTGGCCGGTCGTGGTAGCTCATGCCTGTAATCCCAGCACTTTGGGAGGCCGAGGTGGGCAGATCACCTGAGGTCGGAAGTTCGAGACCAGCCTGAGCAACATGGAGAAACCTCGTCTCTACTAAAAATACAAAAAAAAATTAGCCGGGTGTGGTGGCACATGCCTGTAACCCCAGCTACTCAGGAGGCTGAGATAGGAGAATCGTTTGAACCTGGAGGTGGAAGTTGCGGTGAGCTGAGATCATGGCACTGCACTCCAGCCTGGGCAACGAGAGCAACAAGAGCAAAACTCTGTCTAAAAAAAAAAAGACTAAGAGAATTATTGAAGAAATATGCTGATGAAAAAAAGATGGGGGAAGGAGGAGCTGGAGGAGGCTGGGGGCACTGCCAGATTGAAATGATGATCTGAAATGAAAAACGAGATAGAAATAAGAAAAAAAAATGAATCTGGCCACACATAAACCAGTACTGAGTACTAGCTCATTAACTGGATGCATAATACTCCAATATCATACAGGGATAAAAACACTAACTGGCATTACAACACCTAGTCTGCATTGGGTATTTAGAGGGAGCAACTACACAACGCTTTCAGAGAGAAATAACAGCAATGGCAACTTCTTTCATTAAAAATAAACTTATAAATTGTCTTATCTAATGAAAAAATCTAATGTTAATAAGAAAGTCAATATTGTAAATAAATAAATGATCACCACATAATTTCTATTCAGATTACTAAGCTAAAGACAATTTTAAAATACATTTAATTGGGGTGCCCAAAAATATAAATCAGGGATGACTAAGACAGAAAATGGCAACATGAAATAAAAAAAAGTAAATGTAAAACAAGAATAAATATCTGTAAAAAACATATTGACTACATTGGAATATATATCTATACATTTATGTACATCTACATCATTGCTTATATCTATACTTAAATCACCATTGATAGCCATATATTTTGAAAATTACAAGCTATACCATCCCATTACAAAAGGAGTAGAGTGAATAAAACACACACAGACAACTAAAATAGACCTAAACTCAAATCTGGAAACATTTATACATCTCAAAGGACATACAGACAACATTTAAGAAATATAAAGTATAGCTTGAGATACTCTGATATAATTGTCCCCATTTGGCAAATGAAAAGAAGAAATATCGAAGTACAGAGAAACTTTAAGTAATTTGCTCTCAGTCATGGAGCTAATAAGTAATCAAGCCAGAAGGTGAACATAGTGTCTCAACTCAGAATCATCTTTTAAAATATGACTCTCTAGTACATCTAATGTTGCTTATTATTCTAAAACTCTCAAAACAAAATACTCATTGTACATTTGAGTAAAAATAAAAGTTGAGAATAGTGAGCTGTAAGAAACAGTAGGGTACCCACAAATTATAAAAATTGATCTGTTTTATTATAATAATTATAAAAGAAGTCACTATAAAAATGCTGAAATATTTAGTATGAAATACAGCAAATAAACTAAAGAAGTTATGAAAAACTTATATGAAACAGAAATCAGAAATGGAGAAATAAAAACTTAAATAATTGTAAATAGGAAATATAAATATGTTGAGAGAAGTTAAGTACTTTCCCTGCTTACTTCCTAATATTTAATATTCATATTGTTATTTTAAGTTGTCTAATTACTTATTTTGATTTTATATAAAATAATAAAACCTTTTTTAATTTGCTTTAACAAATTCACATGATTAGTATTATAATGAATAAGAGAAATGAAATTATTCCACTAGCATTCCTTTCCTTCTCTACCTTCTAATTGTTATTTCTCAACTTCCTATATTCACACTAACAGGATTTGTAACATTTATGTTTTTAGTCAATTGTTTAGGCATAATTTTAAATGTGAGGCCCACATTTGATGCTTTAACTAAAGTTGCTTTGTTCATTCTCTTAGGTGGCTGGATTTTATCGTTACATATTTTTTTCTTTTTAGAAATAATTTAGTTGCTGTGTAAAATTATGTGCTTACATTTATAAATTTTGGTAGATATTGCTGTTTTATCTGTAGGTGGTAAGGAGAAAATGGAAGAATTTGATGTCCATCCCTATTGACAAAGAAACAACCACATTTATCTATTTGTTAGCCCCGTCTCCCATCTAATTAACTAAAAATTATTTCTAGAGTACCTATCAGAAATATTGAATAAAAAAAGTAAGACATGGAAGAGTACATATTGCATGACTTCATCTATATAAACAAACACAGTCAAAATAAGTTCATAGAGTTACACATAAGGATAGCATTTATCCTTGCACAGTTAATGACTCAAAAAGGGTAGAAAGGAGGTTTAGGGATTTCTGGGAATGTTTGATGTTTTCATCTGAATGTTGGTTACATGACTGATTACACAGAATTGATTTGGTCAAAATATATTGAGCTTTTAAAGTATAACTTCAGCACCTTTCTGAATGAATATTATACTTCAATAAAAAGTTTATGTTTTACAAAGACATATGAACATTTTACTTCTTTCTAAGCAGTATATGCTAAGCATATTATATCCCGAAGCACATTCAATGCTCCCCAAATCACCAGGTTATTTGCCATTATTCTTCTCATTTTGTATATAAACACAAACACATACACTGAGAA
This sequence comes from Homo sapiens, assembly GCF_000001405.40. Classification (NCBI taxonomy): domain Eukaryota; kingdom Metazoa; phylum Chordata; class Mammalia; order Primates; family Hominidae; genus Homo; species Homo sapiens. The sequence goes on along the minus strand of NC_000004.12, from coordinate 115,913,972 downwards.
TTTTAGTGGTAGAGTGACTAGTACAATGTGACCAGGCAGGAGAAAGTTCATCTGAGATTTGAGCCTGGACTCTGCTGTCAGAGCCTGAGCTTGCTCCTGACTAGCAGCTGTGCTTTACTTCAGGCCATTTCCATGCCAAGAGACGGCAACTCCCCTTGCTAGATTTCATCTGTTGCTAGAGTTCGTCCAGAGTCTTGCCATTTGTACCTCCCTCAAATTTAACATAATTCCTTTATGTGGTACAAAATCTCTAATGAAATTTATTTTTGGCCTGGGGTTGGTGGGGACACTAACTACCCAAGGAAAGTTTTACCTGCAGTCTCAATCGTCAGTTTGTTTGTACATTTCCCATCTCTCTTAAGTCATCTTTTTGTGAAATATGACATTGTCTTAAGTAAAAAATTATAATTTGTAAGAAATGTATATCCAAAGAGTTAAATTATTTGCTTCTAATGTAAATTATCATTCAAGGATTAAGAAAAAGTTCGATTTTTTAAAAATCAAGTTTTGTAGGCAGAAAGCATGAGCTTGTCTCAATAGAGTATTTCATGAGGGACAGTTCCTTAATGCAGAAGAGACAATCTGTCTTTGCTAAAGAATGTTCTCTTTGGGGAAAAAATAGGTTCCATTTCAACACTCCACAGGTGATAAGTGAAGCATTTCAAAAATAGAAGCTCCTAGATGTGTTGATGAGACAATATGTCAGTGCTAAGAGAAAAAAAAAACCTGCTTGAAAAGGCTAAACTTCACCCTGTCTCCACATGCCAGTTATTTAAATTTCTACAGCTGTGTAGCACTAACAAACCTTATGCTTTAGAAGCTGGAAGAAGAGGTGATCATTTTCATCCAGTAATTAATATTTAATGAAAATTAGGTATTTCTACAAAATAAACATTGAATTAAAATTTCCCTTTTAACACAATAAGATCATACTTAACAAAAATACTTAATTTCAGAATTTAAAAAGAAAAATCATGTAAGAAATCAGCCCTACACAGATGAAGAAAACATAAGTCACCTGCTGATCTTCACTGTGTTGAGATTATAAAGATATTAAACTTGAAATCAGGAAACCTAAATGTAATTATTATTGTATTTCTGTTTTCCCTATGTGATCTAAGACAGAATTCTTAATTGTCTGGCTGTCGGTATTTCAATTTAGGAAAATTAGGAAGTTGGAGTAAATTCTCTTCAAGGTTTCTGTAGCTCTGAAAATTTCTGATCCCATGATACACAAAAACGTCCCACCACAGCCTCATTTTTGTTTAAGAAAATTCACCTATCAGAGAGTTTTTTTGCATGCCTTTCCCATTGACTTCAATATCTTTCTTACATTTTTGATTTAATTAATGCCCATTTATTTCTCTGGGACATAAAAGCCACATCTATAAAAAAAAGTTCTCCCCAGATTAATGACTATGTCAATTCTCTTAATATTGGTTCCCATCGGTTTTACACTCACTCACTCATGTCACACTATGGAAACAATTATAAAAAAAAAGGTTCAAGTGAAAGTGTTTGGATAAAGAGTAGTCTGTCAAATGACCCCATGTTTAACAAATAATATTAATGAAGAACCTAGAGTTTCTAATAAAATATGATGGACAAAGTACCTATTCCTATTCTCTTCATTTAACCTAGGAAAACCCTGGGTCAATCTGGACTGCTCTTCCTTACAGCCACCTGAAGAAGACAATTGAAAACAACAAATCCTTTATCTTGGTTTTATATTTTTCTTCACCTTTATTTTTTTTTCTATTTCTGTCTGTTATCACACCAAGAATTTGACTGTTTAAATAAAACTTTGGCCAAAATCTGATCCTTATGCTTTCCAGAATTTGTTCAATTTCCTTTTATGCATGTATTCTGGTAGAAAAAGCCAAAACTAATCTTATATATTACTTTGTAATAACCCAACACACCTCACACAGATTTTTATTTGTATATTTTTACCAGATCACATTGATTTGTATATGTTTTCTACATTTTCATTCATGTAAATTGATTTTTTACTTTGTATACATTTAATGGGATTCAAGTTCAGTTTTCCTACATTCATGGATTGCATAGTAGTGAAGTCAAGGCTTTTAAGATATCCGTCACCCAAATGATGTATACTGAACTTATTAAGTGCTTTTTCATCCACCAAGTCCTTCCCACCCCATTACTTTTCCAAGTCTCCATCATCTCTCATTCCACTCTCTACATCCTTGTGTACACATTATTTAGCTCCCATTTATGAGTGAGAACATGCCATATTTATTTTTTCTATCTGACTTGTTTTACGTAAGATAATGGCCTCCAGCTCTAATATGGTTTGCTCTGTGTCCCTACCCAAATTTCATTTCAAATTGTTATCTCCATGTGTCAGGGGATGGACTTGGTGGGAAGCGATTGAATCGGGGAGATGGATCCCCCCATGCTGTTCTCATGACAGTGAGTGAGTTCTCATGAGAGCTGATGGTTTTAAAAGTGTTTGGCTGTTCTTCCTGCACTCTCTCTCCTGCAGCCTTGGAAGAAGGTGCCTGCTTCCCTTTGCTTTCTGCCATGATTGTAAATTTCCTGAGGCCTTCCCAGCCATGTGAAACTGTGAGTCCATTAAACCTCTTTTTTTTTCTTTTTTAATTACTCATTCTTAGGTAGTATCATTATAGCAGTGTGAAAACAGACTAACACTGGAAACTGGTACCAGGAATGGGGTACTGCTATAAAGATAACCTGAAAATATGGAGGCAACATTGAAACTGGATAACAGCAGAGGTTGGAAGAGTTTGGAGGGCTCAGAAGAAGACAGGAAGAAGTGGGAAAGTTTGGAACTTCCTAGAGACTTGTTGAATGGTTTTGACCAAAATGCAGATAGTGATATGAATGAAGTCCAGGCTAAGGTGGTCTCAGATAGAAATGAAGAACTGATTGGGAACTGGAGCAAAGGTCACTGTTGCTATGCTTTAGCAAAGAGACTGACAGCATTTTTCTCCTACCCTAGAGATCCAGGAAACTTTGAACTTGTGAGAAATGATTTAGGGTATCTAGTGGAAGAAATTTCTAAGCACCAAAACATTCAAGAGGTGACCTGGCTTATTCTGAAAGCATTCAGTTATATATATTCACAAAAAGATGGTTTGAAATTGGAACTTATGTTTAATAGGGAAGCAGAGCATAAAGGTTTAGAAAATTTGCAGACTGATCATGTGGTAGAAAGAAAAACCCATTTTCTGGGGAGAAATTCAAGCCAGCTGCAGAAATTTGCATAAGTAACAAGGAGTCAAATGTTAATAGTTAGACAAAGGAGGAAATGTCTCCCAGGGTAAGTCAGAAACCTCACAACAGCCCCTCCCATCATAGTCCTGGAAGCCTAGGAGGGAAACATGGTTTTGTGGGTCAGGTCCAGGACCCCACTGCTCTGTGCAGCCTTGGGACTCCATGCCCTGTGTACCAGGTGCTTCAACTCTAACCATTGCTAAAAGGGGTCAACATACAACTCATGCTCCTGCTTCAGAGGGTGCAGGCCCCATTCCTTGGCAGCTTACATGTGGTGTTGAGCCTGTGGGTGTGCAGATGACAAAGGTTGTGCTTTGGGAGCCTGCATCTAGATTTCAGAGAATGTATGGAAATGCTTAGATGTCCAGGCAGAAGTCTGCTGCAAGGGCAGGGCTATCATGGAGAACCCGTTCTAAGGCAGTGAGGAAGGAAAATGTGGATATGGCGCCCCCACACAGAGTCCCCATGGGGGCACTGCCTAGTGGAGCTATGAGAAGAGGGCCACCATCCTCCAGACCGCAGAATACTTGATCCACCAACAGCTTGCACGTGTGCTTGGAAAAGCCACAGGCACTCAAGTGTGAGCCCAAGAAAGCAGCCACAGGGACTGTACCTTGCAGAGCTACAGGGGTAGAGCTGCCCAAGGCCTTGGGGTGATGAACGTGCCCTGGATGTGAGACATGGAGTCAAAGGAGATTATTTTGAAGCTTTAAGATTTAATGAGTGCCCTGTTGGGTTTCAGACTTGCATGGGACCTGTAACCCCTTTGTTTTGGCCAATTTCTCCCATTTGGAAGAGAACATGTACCTAATGCCTGTTGTATCTTTGAAGTAACTAACTTGCTTTTTATTTTATAGGCTAATAGGCAGAAGGGACTTACCTTGTCTCAGATGAAACTTTAGACTTGGACCCTTGAATTAATACTGGAATAAGTAAGACCTTGGGGGATTGTCGTGAAGGCATGATTGGTTTTGAAATGTGAGAATGCTGTGAGATTTGGGAAGGACCAGGGACCGAATAATATAGCTTGCCTCTGTGTTCCCACCAAAATCTCATCTCAAATTATAATCCCTACACGTCAGGGGAAGGAGTTGATGGGAGGGGATTAAATCATGGGGACAGCTTCCCCCATACTGTTCTCATGATAGTGAGTTCTCACAGAATTGATGGTTTTCAAAGTGTTTGGCTGTTCCCCTTTTGCTCTCTCTGTCTCCTGCTGCCTTGGAAGAAAGTTCCTGCTTCCCTTTCACCTTCTGCTATGAGTGTAAGTTCCCTGAGGTCTCCCAAGACATGTGGAACTGTGAGTCAATTAAACCTCTTTTGTTTATAAATTACTCAGTCTCAGGTAGTATCTTCATAGCAGTGTGAAAATGGATTAATACAAGTTCCTTCCATGTTGTTGCAAAAGACGCACGATATAGTTTGGATTTTTTTTCCCTATCAAATCTCATGTTGAAATATAATCCCCACTGTTCGAGGTGAGGCCTGGTGGGAGGTGATTAGATCATGGGGCCTGATTTCTCATCCATGGTTTATCACCATCTCCTTGGTGCTGTCCTTACAATTGTGAGTCAATTCTCATGAAATCCTCTCTCTCTCTTCTGCTTTCACCATGTGACATTTCTGCCCTGACTTCACTTTTCACCATGATTATAAGTTTCCTGAGCCTCCCACCCTCATCCCCAGAAGCTCAGCAGATGTCAGGACCATGCTTCCTGTATAGCCTGCAGAACCATGGGCTAATTATACCTATTTTCTTTTTAAATTACCTGTCTCAGGTATTTCTTTACAGTAAAGTAAGAACAGCATAATACAACATGATTTCATTATTTTGTAATATTTAATTATATATATTTATATATATGTTTATATATATTTTTATATATGTTTATATATATATTTATATATATGTTTATATATATTTATATATATGTTTATATATATATTTATATATATATATATATGCCACATTTCTTTGTCCAATCATCCATTGATGGAAAATTAGGTTGATTCCATATCTTTGCTCTTGTGAATAATGCCCTGATAAAATACATGATTGTTATCTCTGATGTAATGATTTTTTCCCTTGGGTATATACCCAGTAATAGGATTACTGGATTGAATGGGTTGAAATGAATTCTACTTTTAGTTCTTTGATAATTGTCCATACTTATTTTTGTTGTTTTTCTTCTATCTCTATTTTGAATTTCTATTCAGATTGTATTGGACATCATACATTTCCTGAGGATTTAACTTATCCTCTAATGCCAAGACCAACCTGTCTTCGTGGATTTTTTATTTGTTTTTATGCAATTGTTCAGCCTGCTTACTCCATACAATTATGACAGTTTACAGAAATAATTAAAAACGGCATCTCTGTGGGCAACATTCTTTCATCATTTCAGCATGTCATGCTTATCTGTTACAATTATGTTTCTTTGCTCTTTCTTTTTAAACATTAAAAAATGTGGGTAATAGAATTTATCTGCTGTAGTTATGTTGAACTAGAAGTCTCTACTTGGCCACTAAAATTGCAAGTTTGGAAAGTAGAGCGTATCATGTTAATGACATATAAATCATATAAAAATCCCAAATTTGAAATAAACATGTCTCTTTGTTCATGAAACAATGATTTATTCCTGATTTTAAAGATGTTATAAAATCAATAGCTTTCTTATTTCTACTGTCACCTGGAGGTGCTGTCATTGTTTTACTTGCCCTGACAACTCACATCTAATGCAGAAAAACAACTTGTTTCTTGTCTAATGCATTACTGCTATGTGCAGTCATCCATTGGTGATCAATATACTGGTAGCAACATCTCCACTTACTCCTGCTGCTTAGCACATATAAACGTAATGGTTTACAGCAGCAAAACTAATGAACTATAGATACATATATAAAAATAAATAATCTTCACAAACAAGTTTTTGGAAGTAAAACAATTTGGAAGTACAATAGTATATATAAAGTGTTGTAAAATATTCAAAATATAAGTATATATTTATATGTAATAGTATAAAACATGCATAGGGTTAATAAACCATATAATCATGATATGTAAGGCAATGGAACACAGAACTATGGCTGTATTTGTAATCATTTTTACTGTATAGCCAACTGAAACAAGTGTGGCAAAACACTGAACTTTAAAAAGCTGGAAGATGGGGAGGAAGCAAAATAAAAGACTGGTTCACCTGAAAACTTGCAGATAAAAGTCCACCTGAAATTCTGATGCAAAGGCATGTTATATATTTGTAATCTTGGTTATGTCACTATATCCTTTAGCATGAGTTTCTTTATCTATATCTGACTGTCTAGGTCTCCTTATGTGTTGGGTTTTCTTTTTTTTTTTTTTTTTGAGATGGAGTTTTGCTCTTGGTGCCCAGGCTGGAGTGCAATGGCAGGATCTTGGCTCATTGCAACCTCCACCTCCCGGCTTCAAGCGATTCTCCTGCCTCAGCCTCCCGAGTAGCTGGGATTACAGGCACCTGACACCACGCCTGGCTAATTTTTTGATTTTTAGTAGAGACGGGTTTTTGCCATGTTGGGCGGGCTGGTCTCAAACTCCTGACCTCAGGAAATCTGTCTGCCTCGGCCTCCCATTCTTATATAAAAATATGTACTATTAAATGTATTATCATAATTATAAAATTAAGCTTATCAGTATTAGTTGAAAATGTCAAGATTCAAGCTTTACAGAATAAAAGAATGTTAAAGAATACATAGCAACAGAATTACCTTAGTTGACCCTCCAGGTGTACTAAATGTTCAGATATTCAGGGTTTTTTTTCAAGTTTTATTGAAACATCAGGCTCTCAGAGAATTTATAATTAGTTCAATATATTTGTTTAAAATACAGATAACTCAAACTTGTCATTTTCAAGTGTCAAGATTTAGTTGTGTTAATTGCTTGTTAGGCAATTATAATAATAAAGTATCAAAATACAAAAAAAACCCTAGAGCTCATTCCTTAAAATATATGTCTTACCCATATTAGAAGAAAGACAATATATATCATAAAGCAACATCTCAAACAGTTCAACATATTTCTAAGTTACTAACCAAAAATGCAGGTTTTTAACCTTGTGGTCACTCAGTGAATTACTGAAACCTTGAGGAAAGACTAGGTCTTCTAAGTTTCTGCCAAGCATCCGTTCAATCAAATCACAAAAGATGTTGATTAATTGCCATAAACATTAATTCATCAAATTATTCTTTTAGTAATTGCTGATTATTATCGTTTTTAGGGCTAGGAGAATGTTTCCTTTGATTCTAATTTATGCCTAATAGCTATCACAGAAAACAGACATTCAATAAATTGTTGCGGAATAAATGAACATACATTTTTATGTGTCAGAACTCACGCTAGCTTTTAAAAAGTTTTGTTTTATTTATGTATTCATTCATTCATTCATTTATTCATTTATTCATTTTAGAGACATGGTTTCACTTTGTTGCCCAGGCTGAAGTGCAGTGGCATTCATAGCTCCCTGAAGCATAAAACTCTGTCCTCAAGGGAAACTCTCACTTCAGTCTCTGGAGTAACTGGGACTACAGGCAAGTGCCACCACCCCTGGCTGTTTTATTTAGTTAGTTAGTTTTTTTGGAGAGATGAGATCTCGCTACATTGCCTAGCTGGTTTCAAATTCCTGGCCTCAAGCAATCTTCCTGCCTTGGCCTCCTGAAGTGCTGAGATTACAGACATGGGTCACCACGCCTGACCCTGTTTTATTTTTAATTGATGAATAATAATTGTATATATTTATGGGGTGTGATGTGATGTTTTAACACATGTAGACATTGAAAAATGATCATGCTAGCTGTTTTAAATATGTTGTGGTATATAATCTCAGTACAATCCTATGAGTAAAATAGCATTACTTTTCTATTCTCTTCATGAGACATTAAAGAATTTTCCTAGGTTCATACAATGTCGGAGTCAGGATTCACACTTTAAGGATTTTGACTCCAGACCAATGATATTTGTTCCCACATAGTAATGCTTGACCAAATCATGTCACCCTACCCTAAAATTTTATTTTACATTACTCTGCAATCAACACACATGAACAATATACAAAATACAGTGTTCTAAAATGAGGCTGGGAGTGGTGGCTCACGTCTGTAATCCAGCACTTTGGCAGGCTGAGGTGGGTGGATCACCTGAGGTCAGGAGCTCGAGACCAGCCTGGCTAACGCGGTGAAATCCCGTGTCTAAAAAAATAAAAATAAAAAAATACAGTGTTCTAAAATAACAGACACATTAAATTACTTGAGTTATACAGTTTTATGCATATATTCTACAAAAATCTAATTTTGTGGAAATTAAATTGATTAATATATCATATTATTGCACTGTAATACTATTTATCATGTTAATTTATTCAAAACTATATTTTTCATATTTCAGTAATCAAAATTTTTCTAACTGGAGGAAAAATATCAAATGTTATTGCACATGAACATAGGTGCAAAGATCCTTAAAAATATTACTGAATCAAATTTAACATAGTGAAAGGGTATGTGTTACATATTAAAATCACATGGAATTTGTTTCAAGAATAAGAGAATGATTCAACATTCATAAATAAATAAATTTAATTCATCATGTTAATAAACTGCATAAGAAAAATCAAAAGATGATGCAAAGAAAACATTCAACCAAATTAAACACCCATTTATGATTATAAACTCTCAAAATACTAGAAATAGAAAGAAACTTCCTTAACATAAAACCAGGTTGTATACAAAAACATATAGGTACATTATACTTAAATGCGAGAGAATGCAACTTTCCCTTTAAGATTAGGAACAAATCAAATGTTCAAGTATTTTTTTCCCTCTTCATTCTCCTTCAACATCTCCTTAACTAGTGCAGGAAATAAAAGGAATATAGATAGGAAGGAATAATTAAAATTGTATTTATTTGCAGATGAACTTATTTTCAATGTAGAAAGCTGTATGCTAAATATTGTAATATGATATTATGTTGTTAAACTTGGTATGTTAGACAGCTAATTTATCTAAAAATACAATTACATTGTATTCAAGTTTATAAAATACTACCAACAATTTCCCACCCTATTCCCATCTACATAATGAATATTTTCTAAGCCAATATAGCAGATGTAGGTATTCATTTCTCTTTTTGCTCTAAGCATAAGTATTTTAGAATAATTTTTCTAATGAATAAGTCCAAAGTTACTTCATTGACTCGATCATTACACTATTCAAGCAGTTGTATAAAAATGGAATCTTAATCCTCACCTACTTTTTTTTTTTTTTTTTTTTTTTTTTTTTAACGGAGTATCACTCTGTTGCTCAGGCTGGAGTGCAGTGGCACTATTTTGGCTCACCGCAACCTCGGCCTCCCAGGTTCAAGAAATTCTCCCTGCCTCAGCCTCCTGAGTAGCTGATATTACAGGCGCCCGCCACCACCCTTGGGTAATTTTTCTAGTTTTAGTTAGAGACTGGGTTTCGCCATGTTGGCCAGGCTGGTGTTAAACCCCTGACCTCAGGTGATCCACCCACCTCGGCCTCCCAAAGTGCTGGGATTACAGGTGTGAGCCGCTGCACCTGGCCAATCTTCAACTACTTTTAAAGTAGGGAAAAATAGATCTAATCTCATATGCAAGAAATAAAGATTCAGTTTCCTTGAGTTTAGAAACTGTCAGAAATAAATAGCTAGAAAGAAAGGAACAATTTATAAAAAGATTACAAATACCTAAAATTGCAGTGAGTTTTATAGTATGTTTCAAACAAATGATTACAAATAAATAAACAAATGAGTTATAAAGTAAATACTACTATATCAATACATCTGAGTAAGCATACATTTAAGTAATAAAGTACTAATTTTAATTAATTGATCCAATTATTTTTTAATATTAGTCTAAGGGATTTATTTTTATTTTTATTTATTTATTTATTTATTTTTATTACACTTTAAGTTCTAGGGTACATGTGAACAACGTGCAGGTTTGTTACATATGTATACCTGTGCCATGTTGGTGTGCCGCACCCATTAACTCATCATTTACATTAGATTCATCTCCTAATGCTATCCCACACCCCTCCCCCTCCCCCACAACAGGCCCTGGTGTGTGATGTTCCCCACCCTGTGTCCAAGTGTTCTCACTGTTCAATTCCCACCTATGAGTGAGAGAATGTGGTGTTTGGTTTTCTGTCCTTGAGATAGTTTGCTGAGAATGATGGCTTCCAGCTTCATCCATGTCCCTTCAAAGGACATGAACTCATCCTTTTTTATGGCTGCATAGTATTCCATGGTGTATATGTGCCACATTTTCTTAATCCATTCTATCACTGATGAACATTTGGGTTGGTTCCAAGTCTTTGCTATTATGAACAGTGCCGCAATAAACATACCTGTGCATGTGTCTTTATAGCAGCATGATTTATAATCCTTTGGGTATATACCCAGTAATGGGATGGTTGAGTCAAATGGTATTTCTAGTTCTAGATCCTTGAGGAATCCCCACACTGACTTCCACAATGGTTGAACTAGTTTCCAATCCCACCAACAGTGTAAAAGTGTTCCTATTTCTCCATATCCTCGCCAGCATCTGTTGTTTCCACACTTTTTAATGCTCACCATTCTAACTGGTGTAAGATGGTATCTCATTGTGGTTTTGATTTGCGTTTCTCTGATGGGCAGTGATGATGAGCATTTTTTCATGTGTCTATTGGCTGCATAAATGTCTTCTTTTGAGAAGTGTCTGTTCATATCCTTTGTCCACTTTTTGATGGGGTTGTTTGATTTTTTCTTGTAAATTTGTTTAAGTTCATTGTAGATTCTGGATATTAGCCCTTTGTCAGATGGGTAGATTGCAAAAATCTTCTCCCATTCTGTAGGTTGCCTGTTCACTCCGATGGTAGTTTCTTTTGCTATGCAGAAGCTTTTTAGTTTAATTAGATCCCATTTGTCAATTTTGCCTTTTGTTGCCATTGCTTTTGGTGTCTTAGTCATGAAGTCCTTGCCCATGCCTATGTCCTCTATGTCCTGAATGGTATTGCCTAGGTTTTTTCTAGGGTTTGTATGGTTTTAGGTCTAACATTTAAGTCTTTAATCCATCTTGAATTAATTTTTGTATAAGGTGCAAGGAAGGGATCCAGTTTCAGCTTTCTACGTATGGCTAGCCAGTTTTCCCAGCACCATTTATTAAATAGGGAATCCTTTCCCCATTTCTTGTTTTTGTCAGGTTTGTCAAAGATCAGATGGTTGTAGATGTGTGGTAGTGTTTGTGAGGGCTCTGTTCTGTTCCATTGGTCTACATCTCAGTTTTTGTACCAGTATCATGCTGTTTTGGTTACTGTAGCCTTATAGTATAGTTTGAAGTCAGGTAGCGGGATGCCTCTTGCTTTGTTCTTTTTGCTTGGCATTGTCTTGGAAATGCAGGGTCTTTTTTGGTTCCATATGAAGTTTAAAGTAGTTTTTTCCGATTCTATGAAGAAAGTCATTGGTAGCTTGATGGGAATGGCATTGAATCTATAAATTACCTGGGGCAGTATGGTCATTATCACGATACTGATTCTTCCTATCCATGAGCGTGGAAAGTTTTTCCATTTGTTTGTGTCCTCTCCTCTTTTATTTCGTTAAGCAGTGGTTTGCAGTTCTCCTTGAAGATGCCATTTTCACGATATTGAGTCTTTCTACCCATGAGCATGGAATGTTCTTCCATTTGTTTGTATCCTCTTTTATTTCATTGAGCAGTGGTTTGTAGTTCTCCTTGAAGAGGTCCTTCACATCCCTTGTAAGTTGGATTCCTGGGTATTTTATTCTCTTTGAAGCAATTGTGAATGGGAGTTTACTTATGATTTGGCTCTCTGTTTGTCTGTTATTGGCGTATAGGAATGCTTGTGATTTTTGCACAATTGATTTTGTATCCTGAGGCTTTGCTGAAGTTCCTTACCAGCTTAAGGAGATTTTGGGTGCAGACGATGAGGTTTTCTAAATACACAATCATGTCATCTGCAAACAGGGATGATTTGACTTCCTCTTTTCCTAATTGAATACCCTTTATTTCTTTCTCCTGCCTGATTGCCCTGGCCAGAACTTCCAACACTATGTTGAATAGGAGTGGTGAGGGAGGGCATCCCTGTCTTGTGCCAGTTTTCAAAGGGAATGCTTCCAGTTTTTGCCCATTCAGTATGATATTGGCTGTGGGTTTTTCATAAATAGCTATTATTTTTAGATACGTTCCATCAATACCTAGTTTATTGAGAGTTTTTAGCATGAAGGGCTATTGAGTTTTGTCAAAGGCCTTTTCTGCATCTATTGAGATAATCATGTGGTTTTTGTCTTTGGTTCTGTTTATATGATGGATTACATTTATTGATTTGCATATGTTGAAACAGCCTTGCATCCCAGGGATGAAGCCAACTTGATCTTGGTGGATAAGCTTTTTGATGTGCTGCTGGATTTGGTTTGCCAGGATTTTATTGAGGATTTTTGCCTTGATGTTCATCAGGGTTATTGTTCTAAAATTCTCCTTTTTATTTGTTATGTCTCTGCCAGGCTTTGGTATCAGGATGATGCTAGCCTCATAAAATGAGTTAGGGAGGAGTCTCTCTTTTTTCTGTTGATTGGAATAGTTTCAGAAGGAATGGTACCAGCTTCTCTTTGTACCTCTGGTAGAATTCGGCTGTGAATCCTTTTGGTCCTGGACTTTTTTTGGTTGGTAGGCTATTAATTACTGACTCAATTTCAGAGCCCGTTATTGGTCTATTCAAGGATTCAACTTCTTCCTGGTTTAGTCTTGGGAGGGTGTATGTGTCCAGGAATTTATCCATTTCTTCTAGATTTTCTAGTTTATTTGTGCACAGGTGTTTATAGTATTCTCTGATGTCAGTTTGTATTTCTGTGGGATCGGTGGTGATATTCCCTCTATCATTTTTTATTGCATCTATTTGATTCTTCTTTCTTTTCTTCTTTATTAGTCTTGCTAGTGGTCTCTCAATTTTGTTGATCTTTTCAAAAAACCAGCTCCTGGATTCATTGATTTTTGAAGGGTTTTTTGTGTCTCTATCTCCTTCAGGTCTGCTCTGATCTTAGTTATTTCTTGCCTTCTGCTGGCTTTTGAATGTGTTTGCTCTTGCTTCTCTCATTCTTTTTCTCTTGTGGGCATTTACTGCTATTAATTTCCCTCTACGCACGCTTTAAATGTGTCGCAGAGATTCTGGTATCTTGTGTCTTTGTTCTCCTTGGTTTCAAAGAACATCTTTATTTCTGCCTTCATTTCATTATGTACCCAGTGGTCATTCAGGAGCAGGTTGTTCAGTTTCTATGTAGTTGAGCGGTTTTGAGTGAGTTTCTTAATCCTCAGTTCTAATTTGATTGCACAGTGGTCTGAGAGACAGTTAGTTATTACTTCTGTTCTTTTACATTTGCCGAGGAGTGCTTCCAACTATGTGGTCAATTTTGGAATTAGTGCGATGTGGTACTGAGAAGAATGTATATTCTGTTGATTTGGGGTGGAGAGTTCTGTAAATGTCTATTAGGTCTGCTTAGTGCAGAGCTGAATTCAACTCCTGGATATCCTTATTAACTTTCTGTCTTGTTGATCTCTCTAATGTTGACAGTGGGGTATTAAAGTCTCCCATTATTATTGTTTGGGATTTATTTTTAAGTGCATCAGTTTCAAATTTTCAACTGGATATTTTTTCCAAGTTTTTAATGTTTTCATTGACTTTCATTGCTTAGTATAGGCTTGTATTTCCATTTTGTATTCTTCTTCTTCTGCCTAAAAAGCTTTGTTTACTACTTCTTACAGTGTGAGTCAACTGGTAATAAATTCTTTCAGTTTTGTATGTTTTAATAGTCTGTACCATCTTCATTTGTGAAAGGTATGTTCACTGGTTATATATTTCTAGTTTGTTAGCAGTTTTTGTCTTTCAGTAACTTAAAAATGTTGCTCTGCTGCATTATTTCTAATAAGAAACATGTTGTCATTTTTATGTTAGTTCTTCTATGTGATGTGTCTTCTTTCTAGCTGTTTTTTAAGTACTTTCTTTGTCACTGCTTTACAGCAATTTGATTTTTGTTTTTGCTTGGTGTTGTTTTATTCGTAATTCTGTGTTTGGAGTTTGTTGATATTCTTGGCTCTTTGGGATTATAGTTATCATCAATTTTGGAAAAAATTGAGACATTTTTAGTTCATTTATTTATTTCTGATTGTATTAGTCATAGTTTTCCAGAGAAATAGAAACATTAGGTAGTGCATGTGTTTGTATGTGCATCTGGTGTATATACATATGTAAAGTGAATATATACATAATATGTATATATTTTATACATACAATTTATATAAATTAAGAATAAATTAAGAGATTTATTATAAGAAACTGACTCATGTGATTATGAGGGCTGGCATGTCCACATAATCAGTGTGGGTCATCAAGCAGAGACCCAGGAGAGCTGATGGTGCAGATGAAGTCGAAATGCAGTCTGCAGGAGGATTTCTAGTGGGTCACTAGGCATAATAGTGAGTGGTGCCACTCTCACTCTTGCTCCAGGAGCCTGGAATTTTGGTTCTATCCAGGATTTCAATTTATTGAATGAGGCCCGCCCAAATTATGGAGGGCAATCTGCTTACTCAAAATTTTCTGAATTTTTTATAACACATTAACTAAAGTAACCATGCTGTACTTTAGGTCTCCAGAAGTTATCCCTTTTATAACTGAAAGTTTGTATGCTTTGATCAAATACATCTCCTCCCACTTGAACAAGACCCTGACCCCTGGTAACCACCATTCTATTCTTACTATGACTTCAACTTTTTTGTTGTTATATTCCATGCATAAGTGAGACCACACAGTATTAATCATTCTGCATCTGGCTTATTTCATTTAGTATTATGTATTCCAGTTTATCTATATTGTCACAAATGGCAAGAAGTTCTTCATTTTTAAGACTTAGGTATCTTAGAAGAAGAAGCACATCCCTTGGAAAATGTTTACTATTCTCTGTGATATCCCTTAATATGAATTCTATGATATAAAGTTCACAATACTTAAGTACTATGATATAAAGTCAATCCCTTTTATGTTAAATGAAGGGGATAAGAGGGCGAAGAAAACAAAGACATTTGCTATATATACACACACAGACATAGTTATAACAAAATAAGGAGAGAACAATCACGACATTACAGTCCTAATTTCTATGACTGGTATCATGGTCATAGCTGGTCTTCATAACTACCTTTTTTCACAATCCATTCCATACCCCTTTTGTCTTCAGCAGGAGCCTCAAATGGTTATAATTCTTTACCTGGTGGAGTGAGCCAAACTTTTATTTCTAAAGAGCCTGAGTCATTAGTAGCCCTGCTTAAATTGAGATGTTGTAGTTGTTCATTGACCTTAACCACAGGGCATGGTAATACCAGCATATACCCTAGGGGATATCCTGTATTCCAGACCAGACATACTCTCTTTATTTTGTCCACAAAATATGGTAACTCTGCCTACTTTGTACCAAATTCCGCTTGATAGTAAGGAAAACTTACCACAGCCAGCACAATAGCATCTTTCTTTGCCTGTTAATTCAGAGGCATGAGGAGTTCAAAATGTCTGGATGTAATCTTAACTCTAGTTGAATAGAATTGTTGTGCCTCCTGATGAAAGCTTTCCTCCCTTTACTACTAAGATCTCTAGGCAAACAGAGAATAAGTGTGTGGGAATAGAAAGCAACAACTTTTCTAGCAGGTCACTAGGCATAATAGTGAGTGGTGCCACTCTCATTTGTACCTTTTGATTCCTGGACTGATGAATCCTGACTATGAAGAAACAGAACCATATATGGGATGATGATTCAGAGCATATACAGGCTCCTGAATAAACTTTCTCAGGCCTGCAAGGTACTTCCACCTTGCTGGCACTGTGACCAAGCCTTTAAAAGGCCATTCCATGGCTCTGTGAAGCCAGTGGCTTGAAGATGGTGGGGAACATGGTGAGATCAGTGAATTTCATGAAAAATGTCCAGTAGCCACACATCATTTGCTGCTAAGTGAGTTGTTTGATTGGAAACAATGTGTATGGAATATGATGTAGGTGGATATGACATACTGTAAGTTCACAGATGGTAGTTTTGGTAGAAGCATTGAATGCAGGGAGGGGTCATCATTTTCATAGTAAGTGCCTGTTCTAATAAGAACAAAACATTGCTCCTTCCATAATGAAAGAGATCCAATGTAACCAATTACCCAAAAGGTAGCTGGTTGATCACCACAGTGAATGGTGTCATTTCAGGGACTCAGTGTTGGTCTCTGCTGCTGGCAGATTGTGCATTCAGCAGAAGCTTAGCCAGGTTGACGGCAGCTGTTCATGTTGCTGGGTCCGTACGTAATTTCCGTCCCTGCCACCATGGCCAATTTGTTCATTGGGCAATGACAAGGATGGCTGGCAAAAGAAGCTGACTTCTATCCATAGTCATCCACTCAGTTGCTAAATTGTGTCTCTTATTTAACACCACTTGGTGGTCACTTCCATGTGACACAAACGTCTTCACGTTTTTCAGTCTTTTGGAGAGGTCTATCTACAAAGCTCTTCTCCAGATTTTCTTGTCAATTTTTCTCTTTTGTTCCTTCTAAGTCTTAAAGCATCCAGCCAAACCATTGAATATAGCCCAAGAATCAATACCTAATCATAGGTGGGACCATTTAGTCTTCTAAGAAAAGTGAATAACTGGGTGCACGCTTGAATTTCTGCACACTACAGATTTCTCTTCACTACTTTCATTCAGGGATGTACAGAAAGGGGTTGTGGTGCTTCAACTGACCACTTTCATATGTGGTTAGAATCACGCAAACTATCTGTAAACCAAGCCTGAGTTTAATCTTCCTCTGTTAACTGATCTTGGGTGATTATTTATAAGGCTGGGAGAGTGAAGGTAGTATAGCAGGAATGGGGACCATGGACCTTAGGCCACTTTTCTATTTAACTTGTGTCTTCAGGGATGGCTCAGGTCCAATCTCATATATACAATTTTTATTTGGGAATAGAGTGTTGGTGTATGCTTGCATTTATGGATTACTGAGTAAGATAATAGCCAATTTATAATGGAAAACTCCAACTACATGGTAACTTGGTGGCCTATGGTTAATCATTCTAACTCTACTAAGGCCCAGCAGCAGATCAAAAGCTGTTTCTCAAAAAGTAGTTATCTGCAGAAGATGGCATGGCTTTGCTCAAAAATCTTAAGGGCCTGGTCTGTGATACATCTATAGGGGTCTGCCAAAGGCTTCCACCAGCATTCTTATCTACCAATGACACTTTAAGAATCTGCTTGATCATATGGGTCAAATGGCAGAGCAGCTTGTAAGGCATCCTGGACCTTTTGCAGAGTCTACTCCTGTTCTGTGTCCTACTCAAAACGAATGACTTTCCAGGTCACTTGGTAAATGGGCCAGAGTAACACACTTGAATGAAGAATATGCTGTCTCCAAAACTTGAAGTGATTCATTAGTCATTATATCTATATTTTGGTTGTGGTGGGGGCCAGATGTAACAACTTATTCTTCACCTTAGAGGGTATTGCCCCACACCACGGGCCCTCTGAAATTTTCACTGATGTGCAAGTCTCCTGAAATGTTGAGATATGTGAGATTTATTTAACATCCTTAGCACCTAATGGTCTTACCAGTAAGTCTACAGCAGTTGCTACTCCTTGATCCCTCGTTCCAATCAGCATAAAGTAATCAATTTAATGGACCAGTGTGTGATAGCTTATGGAAAAGAAAGAAGTTCAAGATTCCTGTGAATTCAATCATGACATAGAACTGGAGAGTTTATATACCCTTGAGGTGGAAGAATGAGAGTATATTGCTGGCCTTGCCAGGTAAAGGAAATTGCTTATAGTTGGCCTTATGACTAGAAATGGAGAAAAAGCCATTTCACAGACTAATAGCTGCATACCAATTACCAGAGAATATGTTAATTTGCTGAAACAATAAAACCACATATGGTATAGCTGCTGCAGTTGGAGGGACCACCTGAATAAATGATAATCCATTGTCATTCTCCAAAACCCATCTGTCTTCTGCATAGGACAAATTAGATTTTTGTATAGAGATGCGGTTTGAATCACCACTCTTGCATTTTTCAGCCATTAATGGTGGCACCAATCTTAGCAATCCCTCCAGGAAAGTAGTATTGTTTCTTATTTACTATTTTCCTTGGTAGAGAGAGTTCTAGCAACTCCCATCTGCCATTTTTCACCATAATAGCACACATTCCACAGGCCATGGAGCCAATAGAGGAATTCTGATAGCTTCTTAGTATATCTATTGCAATTATGCAGGCACCGACTGGGCTTATTGTGAGATGGACGTGAGTGAAAACTTCATTGATCACCTGACCTCCATAAGTTCTTACACTTATTGATGGACCACAATAAAATTTTGGATTTCCTGAAATTAGTGTTTTATCAGAGCAAGTGTCTAGTGGTTCCTGGAAGATCTGGTTATTTCCTTTTCCCCAATGCACAATTATCCTGATAAAAGACTATAGTTTCCTTTGGGGAAGCCCGAGAGAAATATTAACAATATAAATTTTTGGTAGTGTACTATTTTTCTTCCTCAAAGAGATCCAGCCTCCCCTTTATTCAAGTAGTTCTACATCTATAAACTGGCTTAAGTCTGGGGATTGATTGAGAGGCTGTAACTCTGTTTTTATGATTCAGATTTGAGTATTATTTACTTTGCCTCAAACTTTTCTGCTTATACAAATCAAGTTAGAATTTTGTAGATTTTTCTATCTAGTTTACTTCTAGAATCACCATCATCAACTAGCTGATACCATAGTTCTGCACAAATCAGAGTACCATACTCTGGAGTTGTGTTTTAACTCTGTTGTGCATTATGGTAACTCTGCCCACTTTGTATTTGGTGGTTGGGTGCTGGTCCCTGCTACCTTGGGTGGGATCCAATTTCACTCTTGCTACCTCAGGATTCAACTACCCTTATTGTATTTAGGTTTTCCAATTTAGTGACTGTGGTTCCCATTGTAAGCTCTGGCTAACAGAGAAGAGCAATCAAAGAGTTCAAGATGCTAGAGCTTTCCCCATAAATTTATTTCTCATAGTTGTGGTGAAATGTGTGTCTTTGGACACTTCAAGATCAGTGTGTCTTTGGACACTTCAAGATCAGGTGAATAGAGATCTTAAATGTCACATCTACTCTGCTATTTCAATCTCCCTAAGCCTTTAAATCCCTCTGGACCAATTCAAGTCTGAGAATTCAAGCTCACTCACTTTCTTCACCTTTGGTCCACATTTCAGCCAACTAAGCAAACAAATAGAGAGCACACTTTCTAACTCCTTGAGCTGCAACACTACAGAATCTCTGCTCAGTAGGTCTGTATCAGTAAATTTGTCCTGATTCAACTTTTTGTTACCTTCACAATTATCCCACCCTCTTAATATCCATTCCCATGCATATCCCCCATATTTCTCTGTATATAAATTAGAAAACTCAAGTAGTTCTTTTGGAATGTAGCACAGCTCTTCATGGGTCACACTTTGTACCTTTCCTCTGGGGGCCGGCTACCTGCTGGAACCTGAGCCTTGAGTAAGTTTAAAAGCAAAGAGAAGTGGTGGGAATGGGTCCTGAGGAGAATTAGCATTGTCTTGCAAGACAACTGCTTCAGGGGACACCATGAGAGTTTTCTCAGGCAATTCAGGGTTAACCCTCTCAGGAGAGAATGAAGAGGGTGCATCAACTGGTGATGGAGATATTCCTTATACAGGCAAAGAAGAGTCTTTAGAATTTAAGGGCTTAATTACCCAAGCTTCACTAGGGTATTTCTACAGGACTTAATTACCCAAGCTTCACTAGGATCTTTCTACAAGTTTCCATTCTTGTTTTCATGATCCCATTCCTTTCCAATCAATTTCCTCACTTTAATAATAGACATACTGTGACACTCGGAGTTCAATTTGCGATGTAAATTGGCCATTCCAGCCATTCATAGAGTGTCACTCTGTTTATTTATTTATTTAGAGACAGAGTCTTGCTCTGTCGCCCAGGCTGGAGTGCAGTGGCGCGATCTCGGCTCACTGCAGCCTCCGCCTGCCAGGCTCAAGCAATTCTTGTGCATCAGTCTCCCTAGTAGCTAGGGATTACAGGCACACACCACCATGCCCAGCTATTGTTTGTATTTTTAGTATAGACAGGTTTTCACCATGTTGGTCAGGTTGGTCTAGATCTCCTGACCGGCGGTGATTGGCCCACCTCAGCCTCCCAAAGTGCTGGAAGTACAGGGGTGAGACACCACGCCCAGCCATAGAGTATAATTCTAAGTTTGGTTTTCAGTAATCTCAACCCAGTAGCTACAGGAGGTAAGAGTCCTCTGTCAGGCCAGCCATAGAAACTTTCATGTCATGTGTGCTGCTGTTAAGCTCATAATTTGAATTCCTGAACTCATCCCACACACACCCACTTTGTCTAGTTACATTAGGAAGAATCTGCCAATCTCATATTCCTTAGTTTGACAAAAATGTTCAAAAGTATCATATGCACATCAGATCCTTGCTTTTTATAAATATTTGATTAGGAGTACCCGAGGGCAATATTTTGCCTATTAGCCAGATTATACCATGGGCTATTAGTGCTTTCTTTATTACTGGAAATAAAGTTACAATTATCTTTAAAACTAATCAGATTATATTAGTTTCAGAAACTCTAAAACCAACTCAGAAAATTTATTCTTAAGATTCTGTTTATTTAAAACACTCATAGTACCAAAATCTATATTAATTAGGGTTCTCCAGAGGATGACAACTAACAGAATATATATGCGTATAAAAAGAAATTTAATATAAAAAATTGGTTTATGTGATTATGGAGCCTGGCGAATACAAACCTGTAGCGTGGGCCAGCCAACTCAATATACAGGGAGCCAATGGTACAGACAGTATGGCAGCCAGCAGTCAGAGGCCCAGGAGAGTTAATGGTGCGAATGAAGTCTGAAGGCCAACAGAGGGAAACCCAGGAGATATAAGGGAGCATATAAACTCTAAAGGCAGGACAAAGGAGGCTCTTACGCCGAAAGACCAGTATTTTTGTTTCATTCAGTACTTGAATTGATTGAATGAAGCCCACTCATATTATGGAAGTCAATCTAATTACTTAAATTTCACTGATTTAAATATTATTCTCCCCTGAAAACACCATCCAAGTTGACACATAAAATTAATCATCACAATGCTTCATCTCTCTCTCCCCTCCTTAGTAACTCCAATTAAATGCATATTAGACCTTTGGAATGTATACCAAAACTTACTACTCTTCTTTCCATTTTTACAATTTATTTTTCCAGTGTTTTTTTATTTTGAATAGTTTTTTATTACTATATCTTACATTTCACTTACACTTTCTCCTCAAATATCAAATCAGTTCATGTTAACCAGTGTATTTTTCATATTTGATATTGCAGTTTTATGTCTAGGGATTTCATAGATGTGATTCTAACTAGATTATGAAGATAATCAACAGAAGTTACTGATGGAATTCATATAGGTGGTAAGAGAACAAGAAAAGCCAATGATACATTTTCCATTTATGAAATATGTAGCAAGAAATGGACAATCTTTTTAATTTTGTTCCATTTTGTGTTAGGATGCTGATAATCAGAATTAAAATAATTCCATTTTGGACTTGTTTGTTTGTTTCTGGTGTTTATTAGATACTCAGGTAGGGAATCAAAAATCAAGAAGTTTCTGGAATAAAAGTTTAATCAGGAAATCTCAACAGTGTAATTGGCATACAAGTAGTTGTTAAAGTCTTAAAACTGAATTATATCATCAAGGGAAAAAATGAATATAGGGACTGAAATCTTATGTTGGGAAGACGAAGAGAAAGTTACAAAGAAGATTGAAAAGAATTAGAGTGTGAGATAGAAAGAAATGAGAAAATTGCTTTATCTTACAGGCAAGCATAAGAGAATCTATTTTTAAATGAGGGAATGAATTGCCTGGTTAATTTCAGAAGTTAAGTATATCGGACTGAAATTTTGCCTTCAGACTTAGTGGCAGAGAACTCAGTAATTACCTTATCTTTAGAGTTTCTTTTGATTACTTGAGATGAAAGCCTGATTAGAGTGACTTTAGAAAAAGTGAGTGACAAGGAATTGGAGACAATGAATATAGTCAAGAAGTTGAGAAGTTTTGTTGCATATAGAAACAAAGAAATAAAATTGTTTTTGATGGTGAAGCAGTGTCAAAAGCATTTTAAAACATGAGGAGAAAAAACTGTTTTATGCTGATAGAAATGATCTAGAACATAGAAAAAACTGAAGATGAAGGAGAAAAAGAGGGTAATTACAGGTATGATAATGTTATTATGAAAGAGGAAATGGCATTGTATACAAACATGGAAATCCAGAAGAGAGGAATGTGGAAGATGATGAAATCCACTTAAGAAATGGAACTACAAGTTCTTCACCTATAGTTGTTAATCTGTCTCTTTTCTTTCATAAAACTGTTTTTGCCATATATATACTTTTTATTATGATGTTATGAGAGTTATTATTTTAACAGAAAATTCACCATTTGCAATGTAGTGATTTTCCCATTACCATTTCACATCTTTTGTGATGTAAAAATTCATAACTCATCT